>NC_000005.10:117685564-117988594 GCF_000001405.40 Homo sapiens | reverse complement strand
GTCAGATTTGGTTTCTTTTGCTTGCAATTAAGAGTCCTAACTGATTCAGTGCTAGAGAAAAAACTGTACATAATCAAAATTAGTCCCTCAAAGGAAAATGAGACATTAATTTTATCTTTTCTCATTTCACTATCCTCATCTTACACGTGCATTCTCCACTCCTCTTCCACACCAATCTCCAAACGGGAAAAGAAATAAAATAATATTCGGTTGCTGAAAAGTGGAAATTAAACTATTCCAAGAGGGATGTCCTACACCCTTAACATACAAAATAAACATTGTTAATTTTAAGTAATTTAATATTTAGAAGTAGTAGGTTTCTCATAATGTAAATATCAGTATAGCATATCTTTCTATATACAACACGGTGGGAGGTCTTTAAGACTGTTCCCTTGAAGGAATAATGTCTTTATTTTGAAGGCTTGGATCAAAGAAAGGGACACTGTTATGATCAATTCACTATATTTTCAATTTTGTTTACTATATAACTTGTGGCTGATTTTAATATTGGTCTGGTATTAACATATTATTTTTCTTTTAGCTTCTTCCCAGAAGCTACTTTTTTAGACTTGCACTACCACTTGATCCCTTGATAATCAGTTGACTCTAATTGTGATACATATTACACGTTATATCAATATACTCTGGTTTCTCTTCAGATCGTATAAATATTTCACCTTTTATATATTACACTTTATGTCAATATATGACACTAATTTTAGTCCCTGATATACTTCATACCAGTTACAAGATATTGTAACATCTTTTCATTGAGAAATCATATTCAGCATGTGTGAAAATTTGTATTTCAGTGCTCTTTCTCTCTGAGACTTAACCAATTTTCATCTACCATTTTCCTTTCTGTGATCTTCTCTTACTCCTCAAAACTCATAAGACTTTAAAGTAAGTGTTGGTGGAGGTGGGGTGGGACAATAAGAACAATAATTTGTAATACTGGCTAACAATGAGTGTCTGTCTACTCTGTGCTAAGTACTGTACAAGCCCCTGCACATACTAGAGTTTGGTTAAGCTTTCCCATTGCCCTGTGAGGCAGGGATTCTTATTCCCATTTCCCATAAATGGTCTGAAATCTAGGAGGATTAAAGGGTTGTTTTTGTTCACACAGTAAGTGAGAAAGCCAGCATCTTGAAATTCCAGACTACAATTTCTGAGCAAAGACTCTTTACATATATTAATAATTATGCTTCATTTTCAGTGTGTGGCCATGAAAGGGGCCTTATTAGCAGTATCTTTAGTGAAGTGGAGGAACCATAGGCAAGGGACTGTGATATTTATCTTTGTAACTCTTGATCCTCAACTATTTGGGATCACAGATATGTCTTAGAATCCGATTAAAATTATAGGTAGATAAGCAGATTAGACAGATAAGATGATAGGGACATTTACGTACAATAGCACATCTCATCGTAATGATCAGTACTTCTAAATAATAATGTTATTGCTGTCAGTGCTAGTCCTTTAATCTGAAACTTTTAATACCATTTAATTTAGTGAGAACAGTGTAGGAAATGTAGTATACTTTCTTATCAACACCATATCCTCTTAATATTTGCAGAATATTATCATTCAGAAACAAGGTCTTCAATTTCTAGAATCAAATATTCTAAGACGACAAAATTTATAGACTTTTAACTGTTATTTTCATTTTTTATTTATTGATTTTTTTTGAGACAGAGTCTCGCTCTGTTGCCCAGGCTGGAGTGCAGTGGCGCAATCTCAGCTCACTGCAACCTCCGCCTCCTGGGTTCAAGTGATTCTCCTGCCTCAACCTCCCAAGTAGCTGGGATTACAGATGCGTGCCACCATACCTGGGTAATTTTTGTATTTTTAGTAGAGACGAGGTTTCACCATGTTGGTCAGGCTGGTCTCAAACTCCTGACCTTGTGATCCACCCACCTCGGCCTCCCAAAGTGCTGAGATTACAGGTGTGAGCCAGCGTTCCCAGCCTTAATTGTTATTTAAAACTATATTCAACACAGTTTAATCTGACAGATGAAACATGAGACAGACTTATTAGCACTAGGTACATGCCCAGTAGTTTAGACATCCTATGTATAGGAGGCTGTGGTATTCCACCCTATCCATCCTTTGGGACCAAGGTACTTACTTTCAGAGCTTCAAGGGATGACAGCTACTGATGACTCACATCTGAGTCCCTCATCAAGACTTGTCTTCAGCCAAAGAGAGTTGCCTTGTCCAGTGTTACATCTGCATCTGATGAGCAGTTGATGCAGAGGTGTTAAAGCCTGGCCACCTTGCCTAGGATTGGGACAGTTCTGAATGGCTCTATCAATTCCAGAGCTCCCTGTAGAATTGGCCAAGGTCTCTGTTTAAACTGAATCACACTTAAATTTCTTCCTCTCCCCAAGCCTTTTTCCCTTACTTCCTTAAAGTTTTTCCCCAAATTACTCTCCAACAACCCTCCTGCCAGCAAGTACCCATATCAAAGTCTGTTTCTCAAGTAACCCAACTCAAGTCACACTAAGACAGGTCTTGACACCATGAATTCTGGGACAACATTCTTTCTGGGCTGTAAGGATCTCTAAGCAATTGCCACCTGGTAATGAAACTTTCTTTCTTTAGTGGCCAGACATGAAGTCTCTATGCCTTAGAAATATTATTGCCTGGTATAACCTAATATTATGCTGCAATTTAAATTTAAATATGTTTTTGATGTAATAGTATATTGGCTTTTCCCTGAATGTTTTATAACGATGTGTGGGTTACTTGTCCCTGGAAAGCCCAAACAATGAGTAACTGATGCACTGAATGCTTTCTTGGTCAATCTTATTGATGCTGCTACAGTCAAACTGTCCATTAAGTTAGTGTGTTCAATGACCAGTTCTCTGGGATAGACTATGGCAACAAGGCACACATTCAGTTAATGCTGTCATTTTGCATTCTCTAAGGTCACCTTAAGAAAGCTATTTCTGGCCAGCGCACTGGCTCACACCTGTAATGCCAGCACTTTGGGAGGCCGAGGTGGGTGGATCACGAGGTCAGAAGTTCAACATCAGCCTGGCCGAGATAGTGAAACCCCATCTTTACTAAAAATACAGAAATTAGCCTGGCATGGTGGCAGGCACCTGTAATCCCAGCTACTTGGGAGGCTAAGACAGAGAATTGATTGAACTCGGGAGGCGGAGGTTGCAGTGAGCCGAGATCATGCCATTACACTCCAGCCTGGGCGACAGAGTGAGACTTCGTCTAAAAAAAGAAAAAAAAAAAAAAAGCCATTTCGACAATGACCAGACAAGGACAGAACCTATGAGGTCATACTAGTCCCTCCTCTCCAAAACTTAGATTAAGGTGGTAAAAACTTAACTTCTTGTTTTAATTGATGGCTATCCTTCTCTTCCTCAGTGAAAGAGAGGACACAGGGATAATTAATGCTTCTGGTGTATTTAAATACACTTTGAATCTTTTTCTCCACATCAAGCTCCTAGTCATGTGGGAAAGTCTAGTTGCAAATCTCGAACTAGAAATGATAATAATCAAACCAATTCAAGAGACGTTTGTATATTGAATTTTTTAATGTTTCCTCTTAAAAGCATCTTATTTCTTGAAAGGAAAATACATAATTAATATGGAAAGTTATAAAGCAAAAAAAAAAAATGTCCCCTCTATTCCACAAGTCCCTCTCACTAAAGGTAACTACTGTTGATACTTTGGCAGAGGGTTAAGGGAGGAACTTGTACGGAACAAAAGCATACATGTATGCGGCATGAGCTCATGTGTGCACACAAACATGCAGGAACTTTCATCAGTCAGTTGCCACTGCAGTATAGATTCCCTCTGTTCAGAGCTCAGGAAAAGGGACTTTGAGGAACTCTCTTTGGTTGTGAGCTTCCCTAGAATGAAGTCACTAGAATCTCAATGTGAGGCTGCCTCAAGCACAGGTGAGTTCACTGAGTAGTTTCTATCTACCTCTCATTCTGTTTGTTTTCACAGTATGTGACTCCAGCCATGAGGAACAAAGCTGTTGCCTGCAGATAAAATGTCACATAAACAAGTTGACAAGGGTAGAAAACATATGGTGAAGTTGGTGCATGTTGTTAAGTGTAGATATCATTTGAAATCATCTTTTTAGTTACTGCACACTTGGCTGTGATGATATGAAACCAAAATATCTGGTTATTCCATTAAAGAGTCAGCCAAAAAAAAAAAATGGGCAACTGATTTAGAATATATCCCATATATGGCCAGGCATGGTGGCTCATGCCTGTAATCCCAGCACTTTGCGGGATGGAGGCAGGTGGATCATCTGAGGTTGGGAGTTCAAGACCAGCCTGGCCAACATGGTGAAACCCCATCTCTACTAAATACAAAAAGAAATTAGCTGGGTGTAGTGGCAGGAGCCTGTAATCCCAGCTACTGGGTAGGCTGAGGCAGGAGACTCGCTTGAACCCAGGAGGCGGAGGTTGCAGTGAGCCGAGATCATGCCACTGCCCTCCAGCCTGGGCAAAAAGAATGAAACTCCGTCTCAAAAAAAAAAAAAAAAAAAAAAAAAAAAAAAATATATATATATATATATATATATATATATATATATATATATCTCATATATTTATGAGTGTGGGGTGAGGGATGGAGACTCCAACTTCTTTGATGATTAAAGGAAAATTCATGGCTGACAAAAATTTACACCTTTACAATTATTTTATGATAATAATAAGCACTAGAGACAAGTAAAAAACAAACAAGAAAAACTAAACTAAATGTATAATTTTATTTATTGTTGGTATGAAATTTTCTTTAGATCCTTCTTTAATGCTCATTTAATCCTTTATTCAAACATTTATTGAGAGCCAACTTTGTGTTAGGCTGAGTTTCAGATATTGGAGATACAGCAGGGGCAGGGGCATGGCAAATTAAGTTCTTGACTTCTAATGCAAACGTTTAGTGAAGTATACAAACTGACTGACTTAAATATTTATTTTTAACTGGTTTATTGAATGGTCTAAACATCATGGACTTTATTTTTCTTAAACCATTGACATTTAAGATGCTTGATTATGAGGCATATTTTGTTCTTTCACTTTTTTTTTTTTTTCTTTGAGACAGAGTATTGCTCTGTTGTCCAGGCTGGAGTGCGGTGGCATGCTCACGGCTCACTGCAACCTCTGCCTCTGGGGTTCAAGCGATTCTCCTGTCTAAGCCTCCTGAGTAGCTGGGATTATAGGTTCACACCACCACGCCCAGATAATTTTTTTTGTATTTTAGTAGAGACAGGGTTTCACCGTGTTGCCTGGGCTGGTCTCAAACTCCTGAGCTCAGGCAATCCACCCACCTCAGCCTCCCAAAGTGCTAGGATTACAGGTGTGAGCCACTGTGCCCTGCCCCACTCTTTTTAAAACCTTCTTTTTATATCTGCTTAATTACTTCTAAGACTAGATTAGCAGAATGAGGGTTTAGAAGAAAAAGTCAAATGTGATACTCCAGCCAGCCACCACTGTGCCTCCTCTAGGACAGAAGCTGACATGAGAGTCTGAGTTAACATCTAGCTCTTGAATCTTGGACAAAAGTCATGTTCTTACAAGAACTCTCTCACTCTGCTTCACTCAGATATAGCTAGATAAGAAAAAACACCCAAGGCAGAGAGAGGAAAAGAGGAAAATTCCTTTCTCCCTTTCTCCAGCTTTTAGCCTTCTGCCAAGACCTGTCATAGGCCAAACCCATGGGAAGTCGCCTGGCAGGGAAGCCTGAGAAATGCTGGGAGGGGCCAGTATCTTCAGGTACAGAGCAGAGCCAGAAGGGAAAGTGTGCATTCGAGGACTGGGGACCAGTTTGCAGGTTGTCACTTCCAGCTTTATTCCTACCTGAATTTAGTCTGGAGAACCAGAAGTGACTGACTTTTAATCATTTATTACTTCTAGGTTCCAAAAAAAATTCCGTTAGAGTCAGAAGAAAACCGAGAATTTTAAGTGATGAAATTGCAAGTCACAGCTTCGGTAGGCGTTAGAATTGCTTTCCCTAGGAAGCTTTGTATGTAGATCCTTAAACAGAAGGCAGCATGTGTCAGAAAACAGAAAGGTAACATACAGCAAACTCTTACAACCCTTGTGTGTTCGTAAAACCCTATGTGTTGCACATTTTTCCTGGAATGTATTTAATTCATGAATAGTTGGTTTTGTTTTTGTATTTTAGGTAAAAGTAAAGCAGAAAAAAAATGACTTCATTTTTTAGCATCCTAGAATTTTTCCTTTTTTTTCTCCGAAGAGTGTTTCTTTTTTTTTTTTTTAATTATTTTTATTTCTTTTAACTTTTATTGTAAATTCAGGGGTACATGTGCAGGTTTGTTATAAGTAAACTTGTGTCATAGGGGTTTGTTGTAAAGATTGTTTGGTCATCCATGTATCATATTAAGCCTAGTACTCATTCGTTATTTTTCCTGATCATCTCCCTCCTCCTACCCTCCATAAAAGCAGTTTTGTTCTTTTTTACTTTGATATCATTTTATTAGTAATTAAGATGAATATACTTAAATATCAGACAGGTCTCTATATGCTAAAATGGAGTCGCCAGTAACATTATAAGATGGAAAAACAGGATTTTTATGTGTTTAGTGGGTTTCATTGCTTTATTGTAATTCAATTCTCTTGAAATAAAATATAGATTTAATTATACATAATTCAAAGAATAGTTACAATTTTAGAATTTTGCATTTATTAAGGCACCACTTTGTATCCTAATGTTTTTCCATTCTACATAGCATTGCTCAAATCAAATAATATTTGTATAATTTAAATTAGATTTATTCTTTGCAGGGTAAAGATATTTCATAAAATTTTATGCTTTCAGGAAAGCTACTTTACCCTGCCTTCCTCTGTAAATATTAAGCAAAATCATTTCTAAGTCATCCTAATCAGATTAAAATGGATTATTTAAATCATCAGAGGTATAGATGTCAAACTTGTCATGGTTTTCCATTTTGATTTAAAAATCCTCATTGGACAGATGTCTAATCATCTTACTTTACATTTCTAGACATTTCTGTTTTACTCCCCAGGAAAGACAACTATTTTTCTATGTGGAGATTCCTCACATACTTTTCAGATTTTTCTGCATTTGGCCCACAGACTGTAGCTCATTTAGTCATTTATTAAAAGGTTATGTTAAAATTCAAGTCATGCTGCTTATGTAATTCAAGCCCCACTCACTTTTCCATCTTAAGAGTAAAGGAAAACCAACTTTCATTGAAAATGTTCATTTTGCAGATCAGTTAAATAATCTTTAAGCAACGGAATTTTGGGTCCTAGTTTAGCTGCTGAGGGTACAAAAATGTAACATACAGTTACTTTGCTCAAGGTGTTCATGATAGTTTTGAAATAATTTGGGCACCTTGTTTGATATGTTAACTTTAGTATCCAAAATTCTAATTTTCACCATTAATCATAATTTATTCACATTGTTGTGCCAGCATAACCACCATCTACCATATAGCCACATAACCATTTTCATCATATTAAAATGAAACTTGACCTACTAAACAATAACTTTCTATTCTCTTTGACTCTCCAGCCCCTGGCAACCATCATTTTACTATCTGTCTTTATGAATTTACCTATGTACCTCATATGAGTAGAATTACACAGTATTTGTCCTTTGTGACTACTTTATTTCACATAACATGATGTCCTCAAGTTTCATTTATGTTGTAGCATGTGTCAGAATTCTCCTCCTTTTTAAATTTGAATATTCTGTTGTATGGATATAGCACATTTTGCTTATTCGTTCAGTTTTTTTTTTTTTTTTTTTTTTTTAACTTTTGAGACAGAGTCTCACTGTCACCCAGGCTGGAGTGCAGTGGCACGATCTTGGCTTACTGCAACCTCTGCCTCCCCGGTTCAAGTGATTCTCCCACCTCAGCTTCCCGAGTAGCTGGGACCACAGGTGTGCACCACCAAGCCCATTATCCATTCAGCTTTTAATAGCCACTTAGGTTGCTTCTACGTTTGGCTATTGTGAATAATGTTGCTGTGAACATAGATGTGCAAATATCAATTTGAGTCCTTGCTTTAATTGTTTTAGGGACATATCCAGAAATGAAATTTCTAGATTATACAGTACTTATACTTTTAATTTTTTGAGAAACTGCAATACCATTTACCATTAGTGGATGCATAATTTTACATTCTTACCAACAGTGCATACGGGTTCCAATTTCTCCACATCCTCACCAACACTTGTTATTTTCTGTGTTTTTGATAGTAGCCATTCTAATTGGTGTGAGGTAGTGTCAGTTGTAGCTTTGATTTGTATTTCCTTACTGACTAGTGATGTTGAACATCTTTTCATGTGCTTGTATATCTTCTTTGGAAAAATGTCTATTCACATTCCTTGTCCATTTTTTAATTGTGTTCCATTTGCTTACTTGTTGAGTTGTAAGTCTAAGAAATTTAAGTTAATTAATTATTTAAGCTAACATTTATTGAGCACTATTTATATAACAAGTGTTAATTATATTGAGGCAGTTTTATTAGAAATTTTATTTCTACATGGCATATGGAAATTCACTTCATTCTGGCTTATATTCAGCTAATGTAACTCGTCCTATGTTGTTAGAGTCAAAACAGTGAAAGAATTACTTCTATGAGACAAAAGAGAATCTTAGAATTTTTCCTTGTAATTGATTAAGGCACCATCTAGAAACCTTATGGTGCTCTAGTGTTTTAAGTTTACTGTTTAATTGTACTGGATAAATTACAGTAAGAATAAATTACTTCTTTACATAGAGCAATTTTCAAGCAATATCCCCTCAAGCTTGTAATAGAAGAATTCAGTATTTATATGGGATTATAAACTATCTAGGCATCTGCTGATGATCATTTTTGGAGTCAATTGAGTTATTGGAGAAACAGAATAATGGAGAAAATCGTCTTCCAAATGTGATACTTAAAACCTGATAAAAGAGGTCTTAATTAAAAGTAAATGGTCAAATAGCTTTCAAATTTCCTTCTTGTTTTATAATTTTGCAATAATATACAATGTAAAGTTTTCTTAGTTTTCTCTGTGCTAGTTTGCATTTTTGCCTTTTCTTTGTAATCAGAGTTAACTTGTCATCAGTTTAAAATAGGTGGTTTTAAGATTTTACTTGCAAGCCTCATAGTAACCACAAAAAAATCCTATAACAGGTACACAGAAAATAAAAAGAATTTTTTTAAAATACCAGAGAAAAACACCTTTATACAGGGGAAAACAGAAAGGAAGAAAGAAAAAGAGGACCAACAAAACAATCAGAACACAAATTAAAAAATGGTGGCAGTAAATCCTTACTTATCAATAATAACATTGGAAAATGGACTCCAAGACACATAGTGAGGCTGAAAACCCAACTATAAGTTGAAACCCCAACTATAAGTTGCATACAAGAAACTAACTTCAGTTATAAAGACACAGACTGAAAAGAAAGGGACTGAAAAGCTATTTCATGTAAATGGAAAACAAAAACAAAATGAGTAGGAGTAGCTGTACTTATATTAGAAAAGATAGATCTCAAGACAAAAATTGTAAAAAAAAAAAACTAAAAAGAAAATGAGCACAAGTAGCTATACTAACATTAGATAAAATAGATTTCAAGACAAAAACTGTAAAAAAGGGGTCATTATATAATATTAAAAAGATCAATGCAGCAAGAGGACATAACAGTAGTAAATATATATGCACCCAACATTGGAGCATCCAGATATATAAAGCAAATATTATTAGAGCTAAAGAGAAGGATAGACACCAATACAGTAATAGCCAGGAACTTCAACACCCCACTTTCAGCATTGGACCAATTATCCAGACAGAAAATCGAAAGAGAAACATCAAACCTAATCTGCACTATAGAACAAATAGGCCTAATAAATGTTTGCAAAGAATTTCACCAAATATCTGTGGAATACATTCTTCTCTGTAGCACATGAAACATTTTTTAGAATAGACCATATATTAGGCCACAAAATCAGTCTCAAACAATTTGAAATCACATTACTGTTTCAGGCCGCATGGTATAAAATTAAATATTTATAGCAAGAGGAACTTTGGAAATAATACGAACACATGGTATGCTCCTGAATGACCATCAGGTCAATGAAGAAATTAAAAAGAAAATTTTTAAATTTCGTGAAACAAATGAAAATGGAAACACAACATACCAAAACCGATGTAATAGAGCAAAAAAAAAAAAGTCCTACTAGGGAAGTAAATAGCAACTAACACCTACATCAAAAAAGTAGAAAACTTTAAAATAAACACCCAAAGATGCATCTTGAAGAACTAGAAAGGCAAGAGCTACTCAAACACCCCCCAAATAGAAGGAAATAATAAAGATTAGAGCAAAAATAAATGAAATTGAAACCAAAAAAATACAAAATATCAATAAATGAAAAGTTGGTTTTTAGAAAAGATAAACAAAATCTACAAAACTTTAGCCAGATTAATTAGAAAAGACAGATCAAAATAAATAAAATCAGAGATAAAAAAGGAGACATTACAACTGATACCACAGAAATTCAAAAAATTATTAGAGATTATTATGAGCAACTATATGCCAATAAATCAGGAAACATAGAAGGAATGGTTACATTTCTAGACATATAAAACCTACCAAGATTAAACCATGAAAAAAATCTGCAACGTGAATAGACCAAAAACAATGACAGTAAAGCAAAAATAAAATGTCTGCTGTAAAAGAAAAGTCCAGGACCTGATGGTTTCACTGCTGAATTCTACCAAACATTTGAAATATAGCTAATACCAATCCTACTCAAACTATTTCAGAAAATCAAGGCTGAAGAAATACTTCCAAACTCAATCCACATGGCCAATTTATTAACCTGGTACCAAAAGCAGATAAAAACACAAGGTAAAAAGAAAACCACAGGCCAGTATCTTTTATGAATATAGATGCAAAACTCCTCACAAAGTACTAGTAAACTGAATTCAACAACACAATAAAAAGATCATTCATGATGATCAAGTGGGATTAATCCCAGGGATGCCAAGATGGTTAAACTTATGCAAATCAATAAATGTGATACATCTGTATCAAAAGAATAAAGAAAAAAACCCTATTATTATTACAACTGATGTCAAAAACAAAGCATTTGATACAATTCCACACAGCTTTATGAAAAAAACCCTCAATAAACTGAGTATAGAAGGAATGCAATAAAAGCCATATATGAAAAACCCACAGCTAGTGTCATATTTTATGGAGAAAAATGAAATCTTTAAGATCCGGAACAAGCTAAGGATACCCACCTTCACCACTTTTGTTCAACGTACTATGGGTTTCCTAGCCAGAGCAATTAGAACAAAAAAATAAAGGGCATCCAAATTGGAAAGGAAGTCAAATTATCTTATTTGCATACATATTTTATGTTTAAAAAACCTAAAGACTCTAGCAGAATACAATGAAAACATATATTCGGTAAAGTTTCAGGATACAAAATCAACATACAAAAATCAGTAGCATTTCTGTATGACAAGAGTGAACAATCTGAAAAGTAAACCAACAAAGTAATTCCATTCATATTTGCTACAAACAAAATAGAATACCTAGAAATAAACTAAACCAAAGATGTGAAAGATCCCTACAATGAAACTACAAAACATTGATGAAAGAAATTGAAGAGGACACAAAAATACGTAAAGATATTCCATGTCATGGATTGGAAGACTCACTATTGTTAACATATTCTTATTGCTCAAAGCAATTTGCAGATTCATTGCAATTACTATCAAAACACCAATTACATTCTTCACAGACATAGAAAAAAAACACTAAAATTGATATGGGACCACAAAAGACCCTAAACACCCAAAGCTGTGCTAAGCAAAGAGAACAAAACCAGAGGAACCACATTATTCAACTTAAAATTATGCTACAAAGCTATTGTAACCAAATCAACATGATGCTGGTATAAAAACAGACACATGGACTAATGAAATAGAAAACTCAGAAATAAATTTGCATATTTACAGGCAACTCATTTTTGACAAAGATGTCAAGAACGTAATACATTAGGGAAAGGACAGCTTCTTCAATAAATGGGAAAATTGGATATCCATTTTCAGAAGAATGAAACCAGACTCCTATCTCTTGCCATATACAAAAATCATATCAAAATGGATTAAAGACTTAAATCTAAGACCTGAAACTATGAAACTATTAGCAGAAAACCTTAGGGAAACTCTAGGACATTGTTCTGGGCAAAGATTTATTGAGTTAGATCTCTAATGCATAGTCAACCGAAGCAAAAAGGGGCAAAAAAGATCACATTAAGCCAAAAGCTTTCTGCACAGCAAAGGGAACTATCAACAAAGTGAAGAGACAGCCCACAGAGAGTGAGAAAATATTTGCAAACTACCCATTTGACAAGGAATATATAAGGCTATAAGAATATACAAAGAGCTCAAACAACTCTATAGGAAAAATGTAATTCAGTTTAAAAATTGGCCTCCATCCTGGGAAGCATAGCAAGACCCTATTGCTAAAAAATAAAGCAAATTAGCTGGGCTTGGTGGTGTGTCCTTGTAGTCCTAGCTACTAGAGAGGCTGAGGTGAGAGGATCACTTGAGCCCAGGAGTTCAAGGTTACAGTGAGATATAATGACATCACTGCACTGCAACCTGAGTAAGATCCTGTCTCTAAAAATAAAAAGCTTAAAAAAATTAGTAGGGCCAAAGATCTTAATAGACATTTCCCAAAAGACATACAAACAGCCAACGGGTATATGGAAAAATGTTCAACATAATTAATCATCAGAGAAATAAAAATCAAAACTTAAAATGGCTTTAATCTAAAAAATGGGCAATAATGAATGCTGGAAAGGATGTGGATAAAGAGGAATCTTACACACTGTTGGTGAGAATTTAGGTAGTACAGTCACTATGAAGAATGGTATGGAGGGTTCTCAAAAAGCTAAAAATAGAATGAAAAAATGGTCAAGAAATTCCACAGCTGGGTGTTTGTTCAAAAGTAAGGGAATCGATATATTGAAGAGATATCTGCATTTTCATGTTTATTGCATTACTATTATAGCCAAGATAGGAAATCAATCTAACTGTCCAACAACTTAAAATAAATGTGGGTAAAGAAAACATGGTACATATACACAATGGATTATTATTTAGCCATAAAAAAGAAAATCCTGTCATTTGCAACAACATGGATGAAACTGCAGGTCATTATAAGTGAAATGATCCAGGCACAGAAAGACAGATACCACAGGTTCTAATGCACATGTGGGAGCTAAAACAAAAGAATTGAACTCATGGAGACAGAAAGTAGAATGATGGTTATCAGAGGCGGGGAAGGGTAATGGGGGGATGAAGATAAAGTGGGGATGGGTAATGGGTACAAAAATATAGTTTGAATGAATAAGATATAGTATTCAGTAGTGCAATAGGATGGCTATAGTTAACAATATTTTATTGTGTATTTTAAAATAACTAAAAGAGTGAAATTGCAATATTCCTGATAGAAAAAAATGATAAATGGTTAAGATGATTGTGATACAGTTTGGATATTTGCCCCTACTCAAATCCTTGTTTAATTATAATTTTCAGTGCTGGAGGTGGGCCTGGTGGGAGGTGTTTGGGTCATGGAGGCAGATCCCTCATGACTGGGTGCTGTCTTCATAATAGTGAGTTCTTGTGAGATCTGGTCATTTAGAAATGTGTGGCACCTTTCCTTCACTCTCTCTCTTGTTCCTCCTTTTGCCACATGATGTGCCTGTTCCCCGTTTGCCTTCTACCATGATTGTAAACTTCCTGAGGCCTCCAAGCAGATATCAGCACCAAGCTTCCTGTAAAGCCTGCAGAACTGTAGGCCAGTTAAACGTCTTTTCTTCATAAATTGCTCAGTCTCTGGAATTTCTTAATAGCAATGAAAAAATGGCCTAACACAGAAAACTGGTACCAAGGAGTGAGGCATTGCTCAAAAGATATCTGAAAATGTGGACGCAGCTTTGAAACTGGGTAATGGGCAGAGGCTGGAAGTCTGGAAGGCTCAGAAAAAGACAAAGTGAGGGAAAGTTTGGAATTTCTTACAGTCTGCTTAAATGGTTGTAATCAAAATGCTGATAGTAATATGGACAGTGAAATCCAGGTTCATCAGGTCTCAGATGGAAATGAGTAACTTACTGGGTGCTGTATCAAAGGTCACCCATGTTTATACCTTAGCAAAGAACTTGGCTACATTGTGTCCATGCCCCACAGACCTGTGGAAATTTGAACTTGAGAGTGATGACCTAGAAAATTTGATGGAAGAAATTCAAAGCAGCAAAGCATCCAAGATATGGCCTGGCCACTTCTAACAGCATATGCTCAAATGTGGCAGTAAATGACCTAAAGTTAGAACTTATATTTAAAACGGAAGTTGAGTAAAAAAGTGTGGAAAATTTGCAGCCTGGACATGTGACCGAGAAGAAAAAAAAAGCTTTTTCTTTTTGGGAGAAAAATTCAAGGAGGCTGTGGAGCAACCACTTGCTAGAGATATTTGCATAACTATAAGGGAGCCAAGTGCTAATAGCCAAGACAAGGGTAGGGGAGTGGTGGGGGCATGCCTTAAAGGTATTTCAGAGACCTTTTCAGTAGCCCCTCCCATCACAGGCCCAGAGGCCTATGAGAGAAGGCTGGTTTCATGGCCTAGGGCCCTGCTGCCCTGTGCAGTTTCTGAACACTGCTCCCCACATCTGGCCACTCCATCTCTAGCTGTTGTTCAAAGGGGCCCAGGTACAGCTTGAGTTGCCACTTTGGAGAATGCAAGCCATAAGCCTTGGAAGCTTCCACATGGTGTTTAGCCTGCAGGCATGCATGCAGAGTGCAAAAGTGAAGGCTCTGACTAGACTTCAGATGATGTATGAGAAAGCCTGGGTGCCCAGGCAGAAGCCTGCTGCAGGGGTGGAGCCCTCACAGAGAACCTCTATTAGAACAACGTGGAGGGGAAATGTGAGGTTGGAGTCTCCACACAGAATTCCAACTAGGGCAGTGCCTAGTGGAGCTGTGGGAACTTCAGACCCCAGAATGGTACAGCAATCAGCAACTTGCAATCTCAGTGTGGAAAAGACACAGGAGTAAAGCTTCCCAAGGCCATAGGGGCCCGCCTCTTGCACCAGTGTGCCCTGGATACAGGATATGAAGTCAAGGGAGATTATTTTGGAGTTTTCAGATTTAATGATTGGCCTACTGGGTTCCAAACTTGCTCCTAGTCTATAACCCCTTTCTTTTGGCTGATTTCTTCCTTTTGGAATAGTAATATTCACCCATTGCCTATAACCCCATTGAATCTTGGAAGTCAATAACTTGTTTTTGATTTTACAGGCTCATAGGTAGAAGGAACTTGCCTTGTCCCAGATGAGACTTTGGACTTTGGACTTTTGAATTAACACTGGAATGAGTTAAGACTTTGAGGGACTGCTGGGAAGGTATGATTATATTTTGCAATGTGAGAAGGACACAAGATTTGGAAGGCGCCAGGGGCAGAATGATATAGCTTCAATATTTGTCATCACCCAAATCTCATGTTGAATTATAATCCCCAGTGCTGGAGATGGGGTCTGGTGGAAGGTGTTTGGGTCACTGGGGCAAATCCCCCATGGCTTGATGCTGTTTTCATGATAGTAAGTTATTGTGAGATCTTGTCATTTAAAAATGTGTGACACTTACTCCCCTTACTCTCTCTTACTCCTACTTTCACCATGTGATGTGCCTGCTCTCCCTTCACATTCTGTTATAATTTTAAGCTTCCTGAGGCCTTGTGGAATCCAAGCAGCTATTGGTACCAGGATTCCTGTAAAGCCTGCAGAACCGTGAGGCTATTAATCCTATTTCTTTATAAATTATCCAGTCTCAGATGTTTCACTACAGCAATTTAAGAACAGCCTAATAGAGATGGATACCCCAGTTACCTGGATTTAATCATTACACATTGTGTGCCTTTATCAAAACACCACAAGCCCAGCCTGGACAACATGGCAAAACGCTGTTTTTAGAAAAAAAATTAAAAAAGAAAAGAAAAATAGCCAAGCATGGTGGTGTGTACCTGTAGCGCTAGCTACTTAGGAGGCTGAGAGATAGGAGGATAACTGGAGCCTGGGAGGTCAAGGCTGCAGTGAGCTGTAATCACACCACTTCACTCCAGCCTGGGCAATAGAGTGAGACATGTGTATTAAAGAAATTTACAGTTACTTCAGAAAAATATACGACTATTATGTACCTATAATAAATTTTAAAAATCTGAAAAATGTAAATACAGGCAAAAAGAATGGCAATGAGTAAAATTTCTCTATTGGGAAGAAAATAACATACAGAGTATTAATTATAGTTCATTATATTTTTGATATAATTTTTAGCTCTTTCTTTTCTTTAAAATTAGGAAAAAGAAGCTGTAATTTATTTTAATTGTGAAATTGTGTCTTGGAAATATTTCAGTCATCTAGTCCATTAGTTTTCAAAACTCAGTGCTCACATGTTCACCTGGAGGACTTATTTAAAATGTGAATATCTACCATCAGAGATTTTGATTCAACATATTTTGGTCTAAGTCCTAAGAACGTGAAGTTTTAGCAAGCCTCCTGCAGGATTCTGATGTAGCCTGACCAGGAAGAGCATTTGGGGTAATAATTAGTCTACCTTCTTAACATACAGGATTACAACAACGAGTTCTAACAATGAGTTCTTGGCTAAGATCACAGCAATAGTCAGTGACTAAGCTTGGATGTGATCCTAGTTTATCTTATTCCAAAACCATTAACAAATTGTCAATTTTCAGATAATTAAAGTACATAACAATCAGGCTATACTGACATCATTTTAATTTTTTTTTCATTTTTGAAAAGAAACTTTAGAATCTTTCAGAGATGCAGCTTTGTCAGTATGAACTTTGATTCTCATTATTAGTCACAGATTCTAGAAATTGAGCTACACAGGATCAAAATTAAATCCATACTCAACTGTGTAAAGCTCCTTTATTTAAAACATGTGCAATAGGCATATTTTTAAAACTTTGCATTTATTTTCTTAAAAGCATTAAGTACTCCATGTTAGAGACATTTGTGCTGATTTGGATACTACATATATTCACATTTGTGTTTGCAATTGCTGTTAGTATGGCATTGTGGTTAAGGTTTGGGCTCTAGAGTCAGATTTCCTGGGATGAAATCCTGGCTCCAGTACTTACAGACTCTGTGACTTGGGCAACTTTCCTCTTTTCTGAGTCTTGGTCTCATTTGTAAAATGCGTATATTGATAACATATCTGAGAGAACTAAATTAACATATCTGAGAGAATTAAAGCAGATGATTGATATAAATAATTTGAATAGTGCTAGGAGATTATATAAAACAAAATAAATGTTAACTAAATTTTCCTGAGTCACTTTAGAACTTACATGTGTGTTCATGGGTGACAAATCCCTTTATGCTTGAATATCATGCCTGGAAGTTGTAACATGTTACACTTCACCTTATTTGAGGTGAGTGGAAAAATTATTGTGGATGTAGTGTTTGAAATGCAAAAACAAAAAATAAGAAATAAAATAGTATTTCTGAAAGACATGTGGAATGAAGGAAAGGAAATTTGTTTCCTGAATAACATTTTTCCTTCTTGACATTGGTAGAGTCCATCATAGGTACTAAACGCGATTACTCTAGAAAGAATCCTCCTTTTCCCCCACAGACAATTTGTATGTACAATTCCCAATTGATAATTAAGTATTTTGGGCGCTTGGACTCCTTGGCTTTCTTATACAGCATCTACCAGATTCACTTAGATAGAGTAATTGGCAATTAAATTGAAGGTGGAACTTTAATTACCTGAGCCCTTATTCTAATATGTCTGAAAATAGTAGGTGAACAGCTGCTTTAGAAAATACTCTTCCAACTACTTACATCCCATCTTACCTCAAAGTTCTGAAAACCCATGAGAACTATCAACATACGCTAGTTTGCGATTCAAATGCTTTTCACATGCTTTAGTGTAACTGACACTTCTGTTATTAGCGTTTAGTAATTCTGTCATTTGTTATTTGATAATCCTTGAAATTGATTTCTAGTATGTTATTTTTTTCTGCTCTGACTTAATTTGTCACTAAGGGTGGAATTAATTCTGCTGTCCTCATTTCATGATTATTTTTAATCATATTCAGAAACTGCAAAACTGGATAGCTTTCCTCTGAATTTTAAATACCGGTTTCCTCTGGATATGCTAGGTATCAAGGTTTATACGATCACAACTAACTTAGAGCCTTTAAATCAGTATTTCTGAAGTATTACTGTGCTTAAAAGTCATGTGTGATGTTTGTTAAAACTCTTAAAGCTGCATTTTAATAGGATCCAGGCAATATTTACAGATGTGGTCCTAAAATGATACTTAGAGAAACTGCTGGACTAAACTTAATCCCATATTAGGAAACCAGTTCTTACTTCCTACTCTCATAGAGTTTCAGAAACTTACTGAAAAGACAGGTTCTCTCCCTATTATAAGACAGATTTTTCTCACTTGGGTCTTCACCCTGGTCTGTAGCATGGGGCAGTTCAAAGAATATCCTTTTTGTTGCTTTAACCTTAACTTTTATTAACTGAGTAACCCTTGGGAAAGCCACTTAGGTTCTCTGAGCTTCAATTCCTCTTCTATAAATATCAGTATAAATGACTGTCAGAGGCTGTTGGAAGGATTAAGAGAAATAAGAGCTGTCTGAAAAGATGTTGCCACCGTGCCTGGTTTATGTTGAAAAATCAATGCATGTTAGTTCTTTTTCCATCTGTCTGCCACATTTCTGCCACTTGTCTGTCTTGAGTCTGAATCTTCATGACCTCTGCCTCTGCAATATTTACTTGTATTTAAGCCACTTCTTTGCCTTGTTCTCTTGCTGAGTGTGACATTAGCTGTTAGGTTTTGAATCGTTCCCCTGTCTTGCCCATGTAGCCCAAATGAGCTAACAGATTTGACATCACTATGTTGCTTTCGTTGAATACTGAACTCAATTTCTGGATTTCATCCTTTGAAGTGATTCATATGTGCCAATTATGAAATCTTAAAGTGAAATTATAACTCCAAAAAGATCACAATCATAAAAATATTTACTAAGAAGTCTCCAATTATTTTGTAAACTATGTTCCACTTTATCTTTTTGTTTGTTTGTTTGTTTTTTGAGACAGAGTCTTGCTCTGTTGCTCAGGCTGGAGTACAGTGGCTCAATCTCAGCTCACTGCAACTTCTGCATTCACACATATGCATGCACAAACACACAGCCACATTTTTTCCTTTCGGAGAAACTCTCAGAAGTGGCAATGCAGGATCAAAAACTATACACATTTCAGATTTCAAGAAAGTCTGTCCATCTTGCCTGCAAAACGTATACCAATTTGCAGTCCCACCAACAGTGTGCGAGGGTGCTTGTACCTTGAAACTTTCCTTTCTTCTTTATTCCCTATAGAAACTAGTACAGTTGTTGGCACATAGTCAGCATGCTACTGCATGTGCTTGGATGAGGGAATGAAAGTATCCATTTTTAAACAGCTATCGACATACAGAGTTGTGGATATTTACATATATCTTTATAAATGGCATATTACATACCTCAGATTCAACAAGCATCCCAAATAGATTTATAATATTTAAAACATGAAATTCTCCAGGCTTCCATAAATTGTGATTGTTTAAATATAACTTGTGGCTTCTGAGCAAAGGAGACTAAGTTGTGTAATCCTTTTGGTATTTTTTAGAGTATACACTTGTATTTTAAAATCTTTAAACAAATGTAGCATCTCTATAATTTTCATTAGGCGCTCTCTACTACACCAAAAATACAATTATAATGTCTTTACACTTTGAAATGTTAACTGTCTTTTCAAGCTAATGAGCAAGTTTCTCTGATCACAAAGCATTCTCTGCAAGCAAGTTCTGTTTAGAAGCTCCTTAACTCCTAGGGGGCAAAGAATTATAAATGTTTAAATTATGTGGGGATAGCAGTAACTTGACCTTTGGAAGAACTGGAACGACTTGAAATTGCAACGAATAGAGGTGTCTCTCATTTTATGCAAGGAATACTGTTGTTAAACTGTTGTTAAGAAAAAAGAAAATTATGCATCAAATAATATTTGAATTTATCAGAGGAGAGTCTACTAGATAGGGAAACTTCTTAAGATAAAATGGAAGAGCTGGGCGTGGTGGCTCACGCCTATAATCCCAGCACTTTGGGAGGCCAAGGTGCGTGGATCACCTGAGGTCAGGAAATTGAGACCAGCCTGGCTAACATGGTGAAACCCTGTCTCTAGTAAAAATAAAAACTTAGCCGGGTGTGGTAGTATGGCGCCTGTAGTCCCAGCTACTTGGGAGGCTGAAGCAGGAGAAACGCTTTAACCCAGGAGGCAGACGTTGCAGTGAGCCAAGATTGTGCCACTGCATTCCACCCTGGGTGACAGAGTGAGACACCGTCTCAAAAAATATTTATAATAAAATAAAATAACGACAATAAAAATAATAATACACTAAGATGAGCAGAGAAATAGAACTGTTGAAGGCAATTATCTCCAGAGAATGGAATAATAGATGGAATTCCACTTTATTATTACATATTTATAAAACATCTAATTTTTTTAATCCAAACAACTCCACAAAGTTTGTATATTTTTAATTATTTTTTCAAAGCACCCTGTTCTTGGCCTGTAATCTAATGCAGGAAGACGTGTGTACTAGGTTTCATGGACTTAAGTCACTTTTTCAAGTCAAATGCTCCTAAGAGGTGGCAGTACCAGAAGTCAGACTCCAGATTTTTAGGCAACTGCACTTGTACTTTGTTAAAGTGTATTTTCTTCCTGGCTTCCCAGGTGACTAGGAACCCCAGACTATTTGATTGACTTCCCAGAAGTAACAGCTATACAAAAGTCCCTGTGGATTTTTACAGCCTTTAATTAAAGAGAAACTAGACTAGAAAAGACAAAGTGGTGGCTATTTAAATACTTTTAAAATTATCCATATATATTATATATGTTATTCATATTCATACAGTAGAGTTATCAAGTTAGAAACCAACTAAAGGCTATTACTCTTCAAAAATACTCAAAATGTTTGCGATTGTTAAAATGTAATTATTTTATTTTTAACTTAAGAAACAGGTTGGGACAATCATAGTTTTAGAAAGAAAAAAATTATAAATATATACTTTCAAAGATGTCAGGAGATACAGGTCTCTCTTGCATTAGTGCATTAAAATATATAATTTTTCCTTTACCAACATTACAAATGCATTTAACCGTCAAGGAATTTAAATGTATCCAGACATTGTGTTTCATTCTGAATTTGATTGAATGAGAACAAAATAGATAGTTGTGTTTATTTGAAAAGACTGCATTTACTCTTATTTTCAATGACCTTACATGAAAGCTGGAAATTCAACCCGTCAATGAATTGTGGTAAAATTGTTGTCTTTCTTTGAGGTTAAATTTCTGTGTGGGTATACCTGGAAGCCTACATTTCCACATTTCCAGTCCACTTTGCTGCCTCTAAAAGTTTCTCATATTTCTATGACTTTCAAAGTCAATGCTAGAAAGTCAGAAGCTTCCGTTCCTTGCTCTATCACCTTCTCTGTCATCTTGTATCTTTTTATCTGCAGTGTGTTCTGTTGGCTAGGAAACTGATGTTTCTGTGGCCATAAGTGATGATCTAGTAATTTGTCCATTTTCCTAAAGCAGGCGGGTGGAAACTATTTCTGTTGTAAATGGTGGCTGTAATAAATAATAGGACTTATTCAACTAAATCCTCTTTATATCCTGTGGAGTAAAGCAGAACTATCTTAATGACAGGGAATAAGGGGGTAATTTTGTTGGCAAAGTCTTGATTTTATTACCTTGTACTCTGCTTAGATTCCGTGAGCCACATCTAGCTCAAAAATAACCCTTTTGGTCCAGTGCTTGCAAAATCTCAGCATGCCATCTTGGCATGGAGGCTCCAAAGTGCAGGACAGGAATGCCTGCTACTTAGAGACTGTACAGGAGCAAAAGGCCTAGCAGATTCTGTCATGAATGGTGACTCCTTTTTCACAGTGACAGAGATGTCTAGCAGGACTGCAGAGTGATCAGCAGCCTACCTCAGTTTTCCCCATGGGCTTCTTCAGAAGGCATCCATCTCTGTGTCCCTGCCCCAGAAGAGACTTCCACTCCGGTAGGGTCTTAAGGTAATATACATCAAAGCATGTATGTGTGCACATTTGCACATAAGCATGGCACGTACACACACACACGCACCCATCTCTGTGTCCCTGCCCCAGAAGAGATTTCCACTCTGGTAGTGTCTTAAGGTAATATACATCAAAGCATGTATGTGTGCACATTTGCACATAAGCATGGCATGTACACACACACGCACACGTAGGCACACACTCAATGCGCACGCACGCACACACCCCTTCCTGACAGTTTTGAAAGCACTGAAGACCTGAGGATAGTTCCTAGTTACTTGATGGATGGTTTTGCCTGTTAGTTCCCTTGCTTGATTTCACTAGCTTCCAGGATAGAATGGACATAATTTATTGATAAATTATATATATCCAATCTGTGCTAGGCTTTTTACATTCTTTATCTCATTAAATGAATCTATGAAGTAGCTAATAATATCCCCATCATCAAAGTAAAAATATTGAGACTCATAGAGCTTTAGCAACCTGTTCAATTCCATGAAAGGATCTGAGATTCAGATTTTCTGGGCTTTGTGTTTAGCAGCATTTGCCTCTCATGATAACATGTTTAGTGAATAAAGCAAGATTTAGGATTGTGATACTAAGATAAAATACTAGGGAAAAAATGCCGAAGTGTTTTCAAGGAGTAGCGAGGTTTTATTTTCTGAGATGAGCATGTATATTTTGTATTCAGAAAGGCACATAAAGCACTCAACTATATTTACACTGAATGAGCCAATAATATTCATGGTAACTTTACCAGGTAGATTTTGCTGTCCTTTTTACTAAGGGGGTTGAGTTCAGGAAGGATATTTGATTCAGGTAACAGCACTAGGAACATGTGTAAATCAGGAGGAACAAAGTCCTTATCTTATTTCATTAACTACTTCAAAGAATTTCTCACCGGCCTTACCTTGTTTCAGAGAACTGAGTCTCCAGGCAATAAACTCTGACCTAGTCAGAGTTTGATTATTCAGCTTAATTTTTGCTCTAGTTTTATTTGAAGTTTAAAAATTACCTACTTATATTTTTGTCATCTTTTAATTTTGACAAACAGTTGGGCTTCTGGACTTTGGGTGGTATTTCTGATCCCAAAAATGTTGTTGGAGAAGTTTTTTTCTCTGTTTACCTTTAGTTTGTTGTTGGTAAGTTTCAATACGGTTTTGAGGTATATTTAAAAATTCTAATTAAAATATTATATTGTCGCTATGATAATGATAGTATTAAACGTGAGGTATAGCTGACTACATGATATAAAGAATTATGCAAATGTTTGATCTGATTCTAGACTTTTATATAAGCTGCTGGTGGGTGTCTGGAATAAAACAGAGCTCTGCTCTGGTAAAAGGCTCACTGGTTTCTTCCAACTCCTTTCTAGCACTAGTTTGTGATGTGTCTAGATTAACCACCCTGTTTCTAAGACATCGTCGGACAGCTGTTTGGTTAGCACATATAGATTTTTCAGTTTGTATTACTTGATGAGTGAAACTGGAATTAGAAGTCACTGATTAGGAACCGTTGAGGAGAGATAGGCATAATTTCTTTTTGAAAACTCAATCCTTCTAGATTGACAGGATTATTTCCTCTCTTTTGATATGTGAATAACTGCAGGAGGGAATATATAAAGCTTTATTGGCTAACATCTTAGTTACTAGGGATTAATTGACATCCAGCTGAGAACCAGGGTATGTCATGAACTCAGACACTGGAAAAAAAAAAAAACAAGGAGAATCAATTAGAGAAGTAGGGGTGATTAGAGGAAAAGAACGGCTATGCAGAAGGTACAGCTTCAATGTTGTCCCATTATGGGTGTTTTTTGTTTGTTTTGTTTTTGAGACAGAGTCTCACTCTGTCACCCAGGCTGGAGTACAGTGGCACGATCGCAGCTCACTGCAACCTCTGCCTGCTGGGTTCAAGCAGTTCTCCTGCTTCAGCCTCCGGAGTAGCTGGGACTCCAGGGATATGCCGCCTCGCCTGGCTAATTTTTGTATTTTTAGTAGAGAAGGGGTTTCACCATTTTGACCAGAATGGTCTCCAACTTCTGACTTCAATTGATCTGCCTGCCTTGGCCTCCCGAAGTGCTAGGACTATTACGGGTGTTTTGAAAGTGATGTGTCTGGATCTCCCCGGTGATATTGTAACTGTGACCTTGTTTTGCTGCTGCCGCCACTACACTAAGATAAACTTCTAGCTAGATAAAATCAGTACTCAGGTAATTAAAATGCCAGAAAGGCTCATCAGATGGAAGGTGGACAGTGATGCCTGTATCTTTTCTCAAACCTGGAAGAACATCTGAATAAATAACATCCTTGAGTTCCACTGTTGTGTGACGTTGATTTAGAAATACTCCACTTCAAAGTTGCAGGCTGAAGTGCATCAGAGTAGGGTGTTAAAGAAAAATTATTGGTACTTCACATGTAAAATAAATTTAATATTGATTCCCCTTTATTTCCTATGTCTTATTGGTGGGAAAATGATGGAGGTTGTCAGCAGAGACATAGTGGCAGCTGGGGTTTTGTTAAGGTAAGCATGAAGGATTCTAGATTTCCTGCAAAAAATAAGGACTCCCAAAAGTGAATCCTAACCCTCATTTGCAATCTTTATAGATCAGTCTCACACTTTTATCCAGAGCAAGCTAATAGGTTCTATGGCACTCAATGTTAGAGAAAAACATTTAGAGATAAAACTCAACCTGAGAATTACATCAGTGTTGCTACTAAGCTTACCTTCTCGGCTCTCATTATTATGCAAAAGTAAGATATTGCAAGAAGTGTAGATACAAAAGATGTTATTAAATATTTGTATGCAGGTAGAGCAAAAAGTGAGGTGAGTTATAGTGAGTGTGAACAAAGCTTCTTTGATTTAATACATAAAACAATAGTTTATGTGAGATGGTACACAAAAAGGAAGCAATTAAGGCTGTAACTAAAAGAGAGCAAACATAAATTTGATGCATAGCAATACACTTTAGTGCACTCAAATATTTAAAGGTTTTAATAACTATCTACATTTTTAAATTTCCTCCTCTCTTATAAAACACCTACTAAACTCACACCTATTTATGTCTTTTCAGCTACAATGGAGACTTGAGAGAGAGGAGATAACTGGTGGCTAAAAGGATAAACATGGAGAGATCATCTCTAATCATTTAAGATTTAATTTTGCTGGTTAATCCAGGTGGCATAGTTTGCTATTCATATGATACAAGCTCACTAACCATTTTTGAATATATTAATAAAGCAATGAGGATTACTGGCCACATGAAGAAACTACTATTTTCTTCATTGAACTAAAACAAACTATATTTTCTTAGGGAGATTTCATTTTGTGATTATATTTAACCTTTGTCCATTATCATTATTTGTGTATCCATCTTACTTTTATTTTTTCACTATTTGGAGGTGACAAAGGAGGGCTAGATACAACAATGTACCCATATCATATTTTTTTAACGACCAAATATTTGGATATCTAATTATATACCAGTAGTATATTGGAACTTATGAACTTAGCGATGTTATTTTTATTTAGTGTGCCATTTTGGGGATAGATTGCATGGAAGACTGCTTTCTGGCTAGAAAGGTTTATTATAAAGTTTTTGTCTATGACCTTCCACATTACACACTGCTTGAAATCCCACTGAGATCTTGCATTGGATGAGACCTTTAAATGTGTCTTACTCAGCTCTGAGGCCTTCTGTTTCATTCCCCCCTTCGGACTTAGTGTCATTAACCACACAGAGCCAACAGACTTATATTTCTTGAATAGTTCCAGGTTCTTGACAGTATGAAAAGCTACAGAGACTTTTGTATATACCAAAAATAAATCAACCATCACATTTAAAATGTGTCTAATGGTTTATATTCCCTACAAGTAACGTCTCTGATTTGTGAAATGTATGATAAGGTCATTATTGTTACAGTGCTGATATTTATAACAAGAAGTTTATAGGAATATGACATATAATGTCCGCATACACATAAGGATCTGGAAATGGATATATCAGCTATGTGTGAGGTATAAAACTTATTTATTGTCATTAATCTCTTAAGTGTACTGACTAATCCAAGCAGTGATATTTACATAAGAGGATAATGAATATTTATTGCAAAATAGGCTTTATTGAGACCTCTTTTCTGAGGCTTACGAAGTTACTCAAGGATAAATTTTTAAAAAGATTTTCATTTAATTTACTGCATAACTTTACACTGAAATTATGATAATGAATATGCTGGTAAAGAATATGCACCAAAATAGAACATTATACTGAAAAACTGTTAATAAAAAAACCTCATTTGTGCTTGGTCCTCTTATAAATATCAATCAATATTCCGTTCTTCTGAGTATATTGGATGCAATGTAAATTTTAATTGCATCTTACCCAGCAGATAAAATATTTTGCAAAATATTATTCTATTGTATCAGGCAATATTTTTAGTATATTATAAAACTAAGGTAAACAAAAGTAAAACTCATTCAGTAAATTGTAATTTGCCAACTAAGAAAATATATAAGTGAATGTAACATAATAGATCATTTTTAGTATCTCTTTTTACATCCCTAGTTACTAGATGATAGGAAGGAAGTTAGATTTCAAACATTTTAGAAAAGACAGAGGTATTACTACATACCATAAGACTATGGGAGAAAAAAGCTTTCTCTAACATTTGAAGGCTTTCAGAACTTCAGTATTGATTATACAATAAAACATTTAAATAAAAAAGAAAGTAAGAATGTGGTGAAAGAATCCAGTGTGGATCCAAGAACGTTTAAATTTTGGTTTAAGATACGCAGGTAAAAATGATGAGAAAAAAAGACAAATATATGCGAGTAATTCAAAACTCAGATGGTAGAATTTTGAAGGCCAAACTATAAAATAAAACAAGGCTTAGCAAAAGCTAAGGGCAATGGAAAGGATTTTTAAGGTTATATTGAATGTGGATATGTAGCTTACAACCAATTATGCAATGTTAAGGATAACTCAGTGAAACCAGAATTTCTTACTTCAACTTTTGTTTTTGTATTTGATGACAAAGAGGAAGATATTTAGGGGAAAATTTATGCAGATTTAGATTAAGATAGAATAAGATAGAGCCATGAGTCATTACCTTTTTTTGGATGATATGAAATTAAACATTTAATAGATATTTTAAGTAAAATACAATAGAATATTTTCAAAGGACTCAGTTGCTCTCAGTTTTGATTGGAGATGAAGATAAGAAAGCTACATTCTGAAGTTAATTGGAGAATAGACCAGTGGTTGAGAAAAATAATAACTCTAAAACAAACATCAAGGATTTAAAAGTCTCAAGAGCCAAAGGTGGTGGGGGCAGAGGTGAGATTTTGTAAGGAGGGCTTTGAGAGAAAGCTGTGGGAACTTTCAGGAGGGAAAGAGGAGGGGACCTGGCGCTCACCTCAAAAATAGTAAAAGGGACTACTGCAAAGAGACCACTCTAGATGTCCTCTTCAGTGGGAAGATACATTGTACTGGTATCAGGCATGTTCCCAAGAAATCAAGATAACAAAATGACCATAATATACCTTAACTTCCAACTATGAAGAAGTAGCTTGTATCAGGCTAACCCATCTACTAAGAATAACTAAATAAAATACCCCCCAAAATGTTGGGTGTATTGGAAATATTTCTAGTCAGAAACTTTTATTAATATATCTCTGTTTCTTGCAAACTTTTCTGATTTATAGTCTATTTTGTCTGATTTTGTATAGCCACCTGTGCTCTCTTTTGGTCATTTTTATGGAATATAAAAATAACAAAATAAAAAATATACATATTTTCTTTTTCAATCTATTTGTCTTTGGATCTCAAGTGAGTTTCTTACCACATACAAGCTAAATTTTTTAAAAATTCATTTTACCAATTTTTGTCTCTTGATTGGAGAGTTTAATCCATTTACATTGAAGGTAATTACTAATAAAGAGGGACCTACTTCTGTCATTTTGCTGTTTTGTGATGTCTTAGCTTTCTTTGCCCTCATTTTTCTGCATTACTGTCTTTTTTTACATCTAGTTGATTTTTTAATGAAATATTTACATTTCTTTTTCATTTCCTTTTGTATATATTTTATAGTTATTTTCTTTGCGGTTACCATGGGAATTATATTTAATATCTAGAGTTATAATGTTCTAATTTATACCAGCTTAACTTCAACAACATACAGAAACTCTGCTTTACAGCTCCATTCCCACCCCTTCTGATTTCACAACATTATATAGTTAAACATTGTGTTTCCCCCCAAAATAAATAAATAATCTTTTAAAATATATTACTATCTTAAATTACATTTAAAAATGTGGTGTTACAAACCTTTGTTACAACAATACTAGCTTTTATCATTGCCTATGTATTTACTTTTTTGAGACATTTATTTCCTCATGTGGCTTTGAGTTATTGTCTAGTATTACTTTCTTTCACTTTGTTGGACCCTCAAGAATATTTTTTAAGTGCAGGTCTAGTGGTAATAATGTCTCCCAGCTTGTGTCTCATAATGTTTTTATTTCACCTTCACTTTTAAGGAAGAGCTTCGCTGAATTTAGGATGCATGGATGTTCTTTTTCTTCTTTTAGTGCTTTGAATATATCAACCCACTGCCTTCTAGTATCCAAAGTTTCTGATAATAAATCTGCTGATAATTTATTTGAGGACCCCTTGACCAAAGTTACTTTTCCCTTGCTGCCGTCAAGGCCCACTCTTTGTCTTTTTTCAAACTTTGATTATGATTTGTTTTAACGTGACTCTCTTTGAGTTCATCTTACATAGAATTTGTTGATCTTGGATGCTTTTTTTTTGTCTTTCATCAAATATGGGAAGTTTTCAACCATTATTTTTCCAAATATGCCCTTTTTTTCTCTATTTCTTCTTCTCCCAGGACTCCCCCAATGCATATCTTGATTTGTTGAACACGTCCCTTAGACTCTGATAATGTTTTTTCAGTATTTTTTATTTCTGTCACTCAGACATGATAATTTCCATTGTCCTGTCTTCATTAATTCTATTTTTCTCCCTGCTCAATCTTCCTTTAAATGCCTCTAGTTATTATACTTTCAGTTACTGTACTTTTCAGTTCCACAATTTCTTTTTGGTTTCTTTTTACAGTTTCTAACCCTTTGATATTCTGCTTTGTTCACATATTATTTTCTTGACTTTCTCTACATCTTCCTTCAGTTCTTTTAGCATCTATAAGACAACTGTTTTACAATCTTTTTCTAGAATATCTACCATCAGATGTTTCAAAGGAATAGTTTCTTTTGATTTATTTTTATTTCCTTTGAATGGCTATATTTTCCTATTTCTTTGTGTGTCTTGTGATTTTGTTGTTATTGTTGAAAACTGGACATTTAAATCTAATAATGTGGCATCTCTGGAAATTTGATTTCCCATGTCTGTAGGGTTTTTGTTTTCGTTATTGTGTTTATTTAGTTTTTTTTTCAATTGTAGGTTGTCTCTGTGCCAAGCATCAGTCTGAGATGTAAACTTAATTTCTCAGCTCTTCTGAGCCAACAGCATGTGCAGTCACTTTCTAATATGCAGTTGTTTTTGAATGTCCTGGTCTTTAAAGTCTGGCTCCCAAAAGGAGAGAAAGATATAACTGAAAGTGGGAGTAAAAAGGTGTGCCAGCCCTTTAAGTGCCCAGAAAGTCACTTCAGCCAGAGTGGGAGTGAAACAATGGGTGGAGGCGCAACAACGATTTTCCTCCCTCTTTGTCTGTACTTCTGTGATCAAAAGCAGTAATCAGAGATGAGAGCACAGATACTCAAAATTTGGAGAACAGGGCGCTTTTAGCCAACTTTGGCTCCTGCAAACTGAGTGCAAACTGCTCTTAGATTAAATATACAGCTGTGTGTCACAAATATGTTCTGTATATTTAATATTTCTCATTAGAATATTAAAGAATCTAAGCAATCTTACATGGAGGAAAATGGACTCTGTTGATAAATCAGTGTTTCCTGGAGGTGTGACACTATAAAGTAAGAGTCTAGAAACAAGATATGAACAGAAAAATCTGTGTGCTCTGGATTTTGGAGTTCATGGTAAAACTACCTATGCCAGAAATAGATGCCAGAACACAACCAAGATCATGTGCAGAAATACCTATTTCAACAGAAGTCAGTGGAAGTATATTTCTGCCATTATAACATGAAACATGTGCATTCCCACCCCTCACCTCTGCCTGCACTTTTATGTCACCCAGGGAGAGAAGGGGAAGGCGAGTAGAAAACCTTCACCTGATCATGTATTTACAGCCAAAGTGACTAGGTTTTCAACTAAAATTGACTGAGTTGACTTGACTTTGCAAGGTTAAATTTCTCTTTCAAACATAAGTAATTAAACGAGATCAATGGTCAATTTAGCTATAGAAATAAAGGCAATTACATATTTGCACACTTGAGATTTATACCTAAAAATTTATATCTGACACACTCTACTGCACTATTCCTATTAAATGTCACTTAAAGAATACAGATAAGAAGGAACGCCAAGTGAAAAGGATAATTCAAATAATATTATAAAAAATGAAGATTTTTCTCTCATGTCTTAAAAAAAGGTTAATATATTGTGATAAAATATTAAACATAAAAGATGCACTCCTAGGGCATAGATGCATGTGTGTGTGCCTGAACACACACACACACCACTCAGTTTAAATGTATTCATAAGAAGTTGACTTTTAAACTTCCATTGCTATCCCAGGCTGATTATCATAATGCACTAATTTTAAATGACTAAAATTATATATAACAGTTTATAACTCTCATTAGTTAAATTTACAACTTGAACAGATACTGAACCAAATTTTTCTTCTAAGCAATCCATGAAGTTGGGACGTGGTTAATAAAAGTGACACATACCCAATTCACAAAAGCAGCAACTACAGATTTCTTTACTTCTTCCAAGTGGACCTCCCAACTGGGATTCTATCGGAGCTCTGAGATAATTCCCATGCAGGGATTTTGTGGGCCTGTCTGACATGCACTTAAGAAATAAAACTGATGATGCTCAAATCTTCCTGCTGGATGATAACAGCAACATTCTGCAAAGTTCTCCATAGGCCTATGGCAGTCAGCAGAAGCATTTTGCTTTATAAGCTATCAATAGTGTGTTATCCTCTAAAGTCAAATCTCTGGAAGACAGAATCACACCTATTTCTCTTATACAAACTTTACTGCAAGTAACAACACTAAAACTTATTCATACATGTCCAATGTTCACATTATTAATATGAGTTTAGGAACCCTGGAGGAAGGAGTTTCATCATTTAACTTGGATGTGTTTTCTATTACTTTGCAAGTATTTTAAGGTTGCTTTCTGGTAATTCCTTTCTGGGAATCATTTCATAGTTCTCGAATGTTAAATGATACATATTCTAGATAAATTAAAGTTTGAAAAATGTTTCTTGCATATAATTTTTTCTTTATTAATTCCAAGTTCTTCAAAGCCAACTACCCTAAAATATGGACGACTTTATGTATCAAGTGACTAATGTGATCATCAGCATAAATAATGGAGTCTCCGTATGTTCTGAACCTCGAGGGAGCTGTACAGATTGATGCTGTGAAGTGCTGTTTGGCTATTTTCTGTTTTCATACTCTGTACAGAGCCTATATTGAATAATCAGAAAATAAATAAATAATATAAAATTTCAAGTTTTTCTAATTTCAAATAAAGCCCCCAATGATGGGTCATTTGTCATACTACACAACCACATACATCACACCAATAAATAATTTTTTTAAAAAAAGAGAAGTTTTAAACCAAAGTTTATATGCCTGTTTCCCCTGAAATTTTTTTGATGTATAGGGTGATACCTAATATTTGTTGTGATCTAAAGGTAAAAGGCTGTGGATTGTTTACCAGCTTGGGGTGGGGCCTGGGTGTAGAAGGTCAGCAAGAAGAGACGGAGCTGCATTGGTAGCAAGCTGACCTTCCACTGACATTAGAGCAAAGTGTGCAGTTATAGTGAGCAAGATTTCCACCTCGTATAAAGGGGCCATGATAGTTTTCATTGGTAGACATACATTTTTATACATTCTTCTACAATAAAAAAGTGGAATCTTTTTCCCTTTCCCTTGAATTTGAGTGGTTCATCACCCCTTTTATTCAAACAGTTTGGCAGAAGTGAAGTTCTGTGACTTTCCAGGCTAGATAATACATGTGCAGCTTCCAGCTTTCTTCTAGAACACTGTTTTTTATTTGTTTGTTTTCTAATGAGCCCTGAACTTCAAACAGTTGCTCAGTTGTCAAGGCACATGGAGCAGCCACATGGAAGCATGCTTTTCAAGAGCCACAGCTGAGCACTCAACAAACAGCCAGTCACGTGAGTGAGCCATCGGGACATCCAGCCCAGATGAGCCTTCCGATGATTGCAGCACCAACCAGCATATGACCACAATTGCAGAAGAAATCCAAGTGAAAACTGCCCAGATGAGCCCTTCCCAAATTCTTGAGCCATAAAGCAGTGAGCAAAATAAAGTGGTTGTTTTAGACATTGCAGTTTTGAAGTTATTATGTGGCAATAATAACTGGAACAACAGCCAGCCACTAATTGTCTGAAAACTCAAGAGGGAAGTTTTATAATGGATGACAGTTTGGACTTTTAATATTATACTAGACTGGTGTTTACATTTTTTCAAAAAATAAAGACCATTCACTCATATGTGAAAACTAAAAAGTGTTGATCTCTTAGAAGTAAAAAGTAGGACAGAAGATACCAGAGGCTGGGAATGGTAGGGTAAAGAGAAGGGTAGTAAGAACATTGTTAAATGACACTAAATTAAAGCTAGATAGGAGGAATAAGTTCTAGTATTCTATACCACTGTAGGATCACTATAGTTAACAAAAATATGTTATATAGTTTCAAATAGCTAGGAGGAAGATATTGAATGTTCTCAACACAAAGAAATGATAAATGTTTGAGATGGATACGCTAATTATTCTCACCTGATCTATGCATTGTATGTACCAAAACATCACTATGTACCCCACGAATATGCACAATTATTATTTGCCAATTAAAAAATAAAATAAAAAAGAGACCATTAATACATTATTTGAGGATGTCAAAAATCAATTAAATTGTCTTAGATTTTACAATGGGAGGAGAGGTATAAGCCCATGGAGCTGATTAAGAAGAGCAGTTGTAAACCTCATTAAAAATGATTGTTTTACTTCTTTCCAGGGTCATTTTGAGCCCAATTTAATAAATCAGGTTCCCATCTCAATAGACACCACCAACAACATCATCACCATTACCATTATAAGAAATTGATGTGGCCTGAAAAAAATTGTCAAAGGCTTCTGTTAAGACATATTTATTTTGGCAGACATATAGGAGAAATCTTTATTTGCCCTTCGTAACTCATTTTAGTGATTAGTTAATTATTGTCAGGTCAATCACAGATGATTCAATAAAAGACAAATCCTTTTGAAGCGGTGTCATATTACAGGCAGAAAGACTAGACTTGGTCTCAGAAAATAGCAGAGGAAGAAATACAAATAATTGAAAGGAAAGAAAAAAACATAAAAGACAATCATTCTGCATTTTTCTAATACCATTTATATACTTAAGTTATATCTTACTTTGTCTTCTGTTTTATTGGGAGGTGTGAGTGTGTGTCTCATCATTTTTCCTAAACTACAAATGCAGTTGGGGTTATCATTATGAGTGACCCATAGTACTGGAATCTTCTTAGCCATAATTCATTTCTAATATCCTCTTAAAACATTAGAAAAACTCTAAAACTACTTCCGCATTCTCTCTAAATTAAAAATATTTTTTGCTCTAATATTCTCCATCTGTGATGCAGTGTAGTAGTCCAAATTCCAACATCACCCACTATGACTCATATCTTTGTATAATCCCCTCCATCTTGAGTGGGAGGGACTTGTAAATATATTAAGATATAATTCCTATGATTAGGTTTCTGAATTATGATTATGATTAGATTACCCAATCAGTTGAGTCCTTAAAGGGACAAACTATGAGAAAAATTCCATGTGAGGAGAATTTATGTTTCTGCTTTGAAGACAGAGATTGGAGGAATGTAGCAAAAATGCAAGCCCTCTCTAAGACCTAAGAGCAATCCTCTATCAACAGCAAGCAAGAAATTGTACACCTCAGTTTCTCAGTCATAAGAAACTGGATCTTCCAATAACCTCGTATTAGTCCATTTTCATGCTGCTGATAAAGACATACCTGAGACTGGGAAGAAAAAGGTTTAATTGGACTTACAGTTCCACATGCCTGGGGAGACCTCAGAATCATGGCAGGAGGCAAATGGCAAATTTCTGCAGCCAGCTTGAATTTCTCCTCAAAAAAATGGGCTTTCTTTTCTACTGCATGATCAGGCTGCAAATTTTCTGAACTTTTATGTTGTTTCCCATTTAAAATGGAATACTTTTAACAGCACCCAAGTCACCTTTTGAATGCTTTGCTGCTTAGAAATTTATTCCACCAGACACCCTAAATCATCTCTTCTCAAGTTCAAAGTTCCACAAAGCTCTATGGCAGGGGCAAAATGCCGCCAGTCCCTTTGCTAAAACATAACAAGAGTCACCTTTGCCGCAGTTCCCAACAACTTTCTCATGTCCACCTGAGACCACCTCAGCCTGGACCTTATTGTTCATATCACTGTCAGCATTTTTGTCAAAGCCATTGAACAAGTCTCTAGGCGGTTCAAACTTTCCCATATTTTCCTGTCTTCTTCTGAGCCTTCCAAACTGTTCCAGCGTCTGCCCGTTACCCAGTTCCAACGTCATTTTACATTTTTGGGTACCTTTTCAGCAATGCCCCACTCTACTGCTACCAATTTACTGTATTAGTTTGTTTTCATGCTGGTGATAAAAGACATACCCGAAACTGAGAACAGAAAGAGGTTTAATTGGACTTACAGTTCCACATAGCTAGCAAGGCCTCTGAATCACGGCGGGAGGCGAAAGGCATTTCTTACGTTGTGGCCGCAGGAGAAAATGAGGAGGAAGCAAAAGCAGAAACCCCTGATAAACCCATCAGGTCTTGTAAGACTTATTCACTCTCATGAGAATAGCACGGGAAAAACCAGCCCTCATGATTCAATTACCTCCCCGGGGGCCTGGGCCCCTCCCGCAACACGGGAGAATTCTGGGAGATACAATTCAAGTTGAGATTTGGGTGGGGACACAGCCAAACCATATCAAACCTCCATGAGTTTTGAAGTCGATTCTTTCCCAGAACCTCTAGGAAAAATGAATACAAATGCGCCGATAACCTAATTTCAGCCTGTGAGGCCCTAAGCAGTTGAATTAGCTAACTCATGCTCAGACTTGTGACCTACAGAACTGTGAACTAATAAATGGGTGCTGCTTTAAACTACTATTTGAGGACATTCATTGGCAGCAATAGAAAAATAATGCAGGCAATTGATTATAATGTTACTGTATTTAATGAAGTTCCAGAAACATAAAGTTAATTGTCTTAACTTTTTTAGCATTCGACATCATTTTATTACTAGAGTTAATGAACTAAAAGCTGAATACATATTGGTAAAATGTTTAGCATATATATTGGGAAATTATTAGCATTTAATATATTTACCATATCTGTAAACACTTTTCTACTCTAAGAATTATACTGTATTTCTTTAGTGTCCTCCTTTACAAAACTCAGTATGTCAGCAAATAGACTTCTTCAAAGGATTCAAATTACAACTCTGGCCAATGTAGCCAAAATATGCTGGCCACTCCTTCGGGTAGAGCTTTTATTTCAGCTCACACTTCAGTGGTGTGTGAGTCTCACCCCTTCCTGGCTACTGTAATTTTCTCCCAAATGTTGTTTGCTTTCTTTAGAATCATGCATGATGTGTACACCTCTCTTTGTGTCTCCCTTTGGTTATCTAAAAGCATTTTGACTCTATAGTCCTCTTAAATGCTCCAAATGCTACCATCCCTTCTCTGGGCTTCCATATGTCTATCAACCATGATGAAAGGCAGCTAGAGAGCTTAGCATGTTCCTCCTCATGCCAGTCCCTGTCACTGTGGATCAACCAGGATACACAGTGCTCATATGCTCCAGGTGCCCCTTGCCCTCAGCCAGCCTCCATGCTGCTACTGGCTGAATAGGGCATAGTCCAGGCTCATCGATGGCCCCACTAAAAAATGACTCAATAAGGGTCTCAGGGAACTCCTTTTCCTCTTAAGATCATAATCCTCTCTTCCCTCTCTCATTGAGCTCCTCTCTTTCTTCTCTTATTGATTTACCTTGAGTTTTCTAGAAAACAGTCTGAAGCAGAAGCTGGCATGCTGACTTTTTATTGAAGAGTGAAATTCCAGAGAATACGGAGTGAGGGGCCAAGGGAAACATTGTGGGAAAGGAGGGAGGGCATGAGGATATTTGCCACATTAGCCACAGCTTCAAAACACGTGCAACTCATTGTTCAGACTCATGGAACATCTACAGCAAGGCTTAAGAAACTGCTACCTTTCATAGTAGTTGGAACATTCTGACTCTGGGAAGGGAAGGTAATAAACATAGTATTCATCAAGCACAATGAAAATAATAATGACACAAGCCATTTCTAGAAGTCTTCTGAGTAGGAAGTGAAAGAAATGACTGAGGCTTAGGGAAGAGGACTTCAGCATGGCAGAGATGATCTGTGGTATCACACACTGACTCTGGAACATCTCAATGCTCATAGCCTCACATGTGAACATCAGTTAAAGACCATTGGGACCAACTGTGCCTTAGCTCCTAGTTTACACATTAAACACATGAAATAAAAGACATTCAGTGGTCACTTGCTGGATTCTCACTTTCATGTTTCTGTTGTATTTTTTAATTCAAATCAGACAACCATTTGTCTTCAAAGTTTTCCATAGTGACCTGCGAAATGTATGACCTGTTGTCTAATTCTCAAATGTCCTCAATTTCTTCTCTGAATGAACCTTAACCTAACCCTCACAACTTATCCAAAAATTAACTTGAAATTCACCACAGAAGTAAATAAATTTAAAAGATACTACTACAACATTAAAAAAAAAAACAGGAAAAAAAGATTTTGGGATAGACAAAACAGTTTTAGATTAAAAAAGTGAAAAAATAAAAAATTTGACTTGATAAAATTATCAGTTTTATTCTTTAGAAAACACTGTTATGTGAATGGACAACAAGCCAAAAGCTGGAAGAAAATAACTGTACCTTACATATGCCACTAAGGACTTGTATCCAGAATAAAGAACCCTAAAAAGTCAATAAACTTTCTTTTATGGAAGTGACATAAAATACACCTTCTTTTGATAAGTTTTTCCTTTTATTTTCAAATATTTTCTCATTAGTAAATTAAGGTTATACATTCTCAGACAAAATATTAGATAGATGGAGTCGTGTCCTTTGCAGGGCATCAGTCTAGTGTCATACGTGACCATCTGTTCCTTGTTAGTTATGTTAATTTTGATCACCTACTCAATGTTATCAGATTTATTCACTCAATAATTATTCTTTCCCTTGCAACTAATAAGCAATCTGTGAGGAGATACTTAAAGATCATGTAAATACCCTTCTCATTATCAAAATTTTCCTAGACAGCAACCATTGATAATTCATCTGATGTAATCTTTATCCTGATGATTATAAAATAATGATGTTCCTCTGCATTTATCAGCCAGTGCTTACATTCTACTGTAAGCAAGAACCTTCCATTCTTCTCTATTTAGGTACATACTTATTCATCTTATTATTCATATGGGGATGAATTCCTATTTTTCATTGGTTTAAAATTTATTAGTGTACTTTATGATTTATTTTGGCATACAAACTGTCCTAGATTTGGCCAGTTGGAGGCCATTTAAGCTGGCTCCTATGTTTTTGAGTTATTCCTTGATCTTTTAAAAAAAATTTTTAGCATTAGCTTTTGTTCTAGCATAGCAAGTTGTTCCAGGCTCATCTTGCACCTGCTTTGTGCCAGCTATAAAGTAAGCCATTTCTCTGAGGAGTCCTCATTTGTTTTAGTGGGGAATACAATTAGAACCCAAGACCTCAGCACCAGGTATGCTCACTGCCAGCAGGCGTCTTTACTTCTTGGCCATCTCAGAGGGATGACTAGGAAATATATGCATACATGTATATATAACATATACATACGCACATACACTAAATATATGCATACATATATATCTGCATGTGGACATAAATACGCATTATGCACATAAAATATATATTTTAGCAAATATGAGTTCATACCAATGCTTTAATTTCTATCCACAGGGATAGCTTTCCCCATTCTGTATTTGAATATCCCTTCCTCCATAATGAAAATCCTGGTTGTCAACAAAATCAACATATTCACTCATTTGTTCAATCCAATAATAGATGCAAAATAGTTAATAGTCATTTTTCCTATATCACTGCAATAAACAAGAATACCAAAAAGAGCTCAAGATTCATTAGCAATTCTTCTCCTCATCACACCCTTCCCCACCCAAGATTGAATTCATATAGTCAAATATTATGAAATTATGAAATCATTTTGATTGGTTCATTTATCTGTTTTTCTGTCTTCCTTTCTTCCTTCTTATCCTCCCTTCTTTCCTCCCCTCTTTCTTTTCCTTCTTTCCTTCCTTCCTCCCCTCTTTCTTTTCCTTCTTTCCTTCCTTCCTCTTCCTTTCTTCTCATAGCATAAGTTTTGTTTTTATTTTTGGTAAAATACATGTATATCACATTAACCATTTTTATGTGTACAGTTCAGTAGCGTTAAGTACATTCACAATGTTGTACAATAACCATCCATCTCCAGAATTTTTCATCTTCCCAAACTGAAATTCCATGCCCATTATACACTAACTCCCCAATTCTCTGTCTCACCCAGCTCTGGGAAATCACCATTCTACTTTCTGTCTCTATAATTTTCACTTTTCTAGATATAAATACTGGATGATTCTACCTATCTTCCTCTCATGCCTTCTTTCTCCCTTCAGCTTAGTTATAGTTGTCACTTGAAATACAACTAGGATTAATATTTGTCAGTTTTGTTTTCTCCCTTTCGTTCATTATTAATTTTATTTAATTTTCAAGATATTGAAATTTTGAGACTTTCAAATTCAAAGATATAAAAAAGATACACTCAGAGACGTCTCATTCCGCCCCATATTCCTTCAACACATCACCTAACTTTTTTATTTTTTGTTTTATCCTTCCTGGGATTCCCTTTGAAATAACCAGATTATGTTTTTCCTTTGCTTTCTTCTCACACACACAAAAAACAACATATATGTAAGCTTTTTTAAACTTTATTTTTACTTCATATCTCCTGGAAATCATATTTTATTTGTTTGCAGAGATCTTTATGATGTTCTCTGCCTGTAGGTTGTTCCCTCATGTATATATTTTGTATCATAGTTTATTCAATGCCATATGTTTGGATGCCTAAGTAGTTTCCAATATTTTGTAATTGGAAATAATTATGCAATGAAATAAACTCATGCATATATGTGTTTACATTGTTGCTGCTGGATCTTTAGGATAAATTCCTAACAGCAGAATTACTGTATGAAAAGATCACTGAATATGTAGTTTTGTTAGATACCACCAAATTTTCTCTAATATACATTGAATCATTTTGCACCTCCACTAGTGATATAAAAGGGTGTTTATTTCCTGAGACTGTCAGGCTATATTATGGTGAGCCCAGACAGTGAGCAGACAGTTGTACTGACCACCATTCTCACCATCAATGCTAAGACATGGTACACTTTAGGCGTTCACTTTGTAAAAGATTATTTTTTTAACAGACTATAGGAAAATTTCACCTATGACAGTTTTCCTGTGATTTGGGAGGTGAGAGAAGAGGTGTATATTTTTCTTATTGTCTTAGGAGTTCGAGACCAGCCTGGCCAACATGGTGGAACCCTGTCTCTACTAAAAATACATAAAATTGGCTGGGTATAGTGGCGGACGCCTGCAGTCCCAGCTACTTGGTAAGCTGAGGCAGGAGAATCGCTTGGAGGTGGAGGTTGCAGTGAGCCAAGAATGCGCCACTGCGTTCCAGCCTGGGTGACAGAGTGAGACTCTGTCTCAAAATAAATAAATAAATAATAATAAAATAAAATAATAATAATTACTCCTTCATAGTTTGGTCTCAGTTTTTAGAGCTGTGCATTTAAAGCATGGTAATACTAGGAAACATTGGCTCTGTGAGGCGATGTCATTTCATGAGGCAAAAAAAGAAAATCTGCTCACTGAAGCCTGAACAATCTTAAAATTAGCTTCTGTGTTGAAAATAAAGCACAACAATAGACACATATATAGAAGGCAAAAAACCACCTCTGAAGAATTTCCCTCTGATGAATAAGGTGATATTAGCTGATATTTATGGTAATAGCAGACTCCGATGAGGTACATCTGTCTTTCACAACCTTGTTATTTTATGACTTACTAAGTTTACTCAGCTCATTTCATTACCAAGGGAAAAAGGCAACCATTTACTGACATAGGTAGTCCTCACCATCATCAGCATGTTTGTGCTGGTATATTGCCTATAGAAAACAGGCAGCTATTAGGCACTCACAAATGTTTGTTAAATAAATATATGACTAAATAAATAAAAGGTATCTTCTGATATAGGAAAAAATAATTTTAAATTGAGGTTACAATAGGGAAAGAAATAAGAAAAAGTACTTTCTGTTTTATTTATATCTTTTCAGCTGATTACATTAGGAAAAATAATGAAATTCTGTCATAATAACTATATCTATTTCATGGCCATATTGTGCATGTTAATTTTATTTTTTAAGCAAATCACAACAGTGATAATTTGTTCTTTGCGTTTATCCAAAACTGAGATTTTCGGAGGGTGACTTATTTAACAAGGCTGGCCCCTGTCTATAATCTTTATAGTATATTGGATGATGAACATTTTCAAATTACATGGTCTGTAATTCCTGGTTCCACTACATTTACACCTGCTTTCAGACTCACTGAACTGCATTTGATGAGGCTGCATTTGGCCCAAAATTTTTCTTTGGGTACATAATTGAAACTGTTCTACCAAATCTGTTTCACTGAAACAGACTATAGCCACGTCATTCTGTCAGCCACTGAAAAATACCCGATTCTGCCAGACACTTAGCACTTGTATTAAAATGCTATTTAGTTTCTTTTCTAGGGTATGGGTGACATTGAACTCAACTATTCAGGGACAGTCTAGGATGACAGGTTCCAAGGTGAAAAATGGAATATCCCAAAGGGTACAATCTCTGAGCATTATGAGCAAGAATTCAGACATGAAGATGCCACCTAAAAAGGAATATTAAATAGCAGGTCTCCAATTTTGACAACATGAATTTACAAAGCTTGAAGTGAAGACTTCCTCCTGCTCAATCAGTTATAGCTCTCAACTGTTTGGCCCCTATTCCTCCAGCAGAGACATTATAAAGCATCACAGGAATTAAAGATTTGCAGAAACACATACCAAATACAGTTGTCTCAACCATATTTGTTTTACTCACACACTCAGACAATGATTGATTTTTTTTTTCTAGCAAGGCATATGGCAATAATGACCAGCTTCTCTATTTTTCTTAATTCTCTGCCAAAAGCAAATCTCCCTTTTGGCGTCTTTCAGGTTTACACGTTTACTCAAAATGGAAAAATTAAAAAATGGTGCCTATTCACTAGTGACTCCAGAGAGGACATGTTGAACTGCAGGACAGAACACTTTTTTTTTTGAGGTTGATATCAAGGTGCACATAAAGAAAAGTGGATTACCATTTTAAAGGGAGTCCAAACTGAATAAGTAAAAAATGGAAGTGGCATAATCTTTAGAATGTACCTACTAGTAATGCTAAAAAAGAAGTTGTAAGTAGCACCCCTGGTAAGAATGCGAGTCCAAAATGTATACTATTTTACTTGTTTTCATTTAGATGAAGGACACAGAGACACAGTATTATCTTTAACTATGATAATTCTATGGACTCTGAAAAAGCCAAGAGAGAATGGTTTCTAAAAATGAAACAAGAGGAAAAATTATGTACCCATGGAAGGAAATCTAGACTAAAATCTCTTGGCCTTATCCTCTATGTGATCTTAAACTAATCACATAAATTGTGTTATAGGTTTGCTTTCTGAAGTGCAAATAGTAATGAATAATCTCTATGCCACAAACATTTTAAAAATGGTTAAGTGAGAATATATCTTGTCAATAAGAAATGGCTGACCCCGTGAAGTAGTTCATGCCAGTTATCGCAGCACTGTGGGAGGCTGAGGTGGGCGGATCATGAGGTCAGCAGTTCAAGACCAGCCTGACCAATATGGTGAAACCCCATCTCTACTAATACAAAAAATACAAAAATTAGCCAGGCGTGGTAGCAAGTGTCTGTAGTCCCAGCTACTCAGGAGGCTGAAGTAGGAGAATTGCTTGAACCTGGGAGGCGGAGGTTGCAGTGAGCCAAGACTGTGCCACTGCACTCTAGCCTGGGTGACAGAGCAACACTCAGTCTCAAAAAAAAAAAATTATTATAGAAATTGAAACTGTTACTGAAACAATGTACTCTCCCCAAGGAAGACTTATTTGTTCTGGGGATTGGGTTAATTGTCCCATTCCATAACTTCCTACAGCTTACTATGCTTACCTTTAGCTCATACACATAAATAATTATAATCTGATGTGAGAAGAGCTCTCTCAACTGGAAGACTATGACCTACTATGGGGGAAGCAGGGGAGGGAATGAATCTGATTTCTTTCTTTCCAGTGCCTAAAATAGTGCATACCACTTAATAAACACTCTATAAATTCAAAATGAAGTTATTCTGTGACTAAGTACAACCAATTTGCAATAAAACATAAATATATTTATACAGCAAATACAACATCTAAAGTGTTGGGAAAAAAGTAAACACAGAAACACAAGGTCATTCCATCATTCTCCCACTCCAATCAAAATTAGTTTCGTATGCCACATGGGTTATGACTCATGGACTATGGTTTGTCATTACAGGGGACGAAAGAAGGCCCTGATGTAATCTGAAACAGAGGTTGACTGAGTATTTGGAAAGAATAGGATCAGAAAGAAAATCAAACATTAATTTATGGCTAGCAAAAGTAAAGTTGAAGAGCAAATAAGGTAGTAGCACATAGACAAAATATAAAAACTTGGACTTCATTCAAGAGTAGAAAAACTATTTCATTTCATTTAAAATTCTTAATGAGTAGATGTTTTCAAAATATCCTAATAATTCCACAGATGGCATTTTGTTCTAGGATATGACACAGTTCCAAAATAATGGCCCAAGAATTCATAAAGAGATATTCCCCTTACATTGGGACTTTGGTACCATTGGCTGACTTACAGTTCATAAGATTTCCCACTGATTAAACTTTGATTAATATAACTTCATGTAGCAAATGTTAGCAAGAGAAAGGAGTGGGCTGGGTACCTTTTCAGTGTATTGAGTAGTCTCAAGGGTTCAGAACAGAAAGGCAAATGTCAATAAAGCAATGTTTCATCAAATACACTTTCCAGGAATCTGACAGAAGGATGCACCAATTTGGGTGTTATTCATGATTCAAACCCAATTTTTTTTTAGCTTATTTTAAATAACTCATGGTGATACATTTACTTTCTCTTAGAATAGTATTTTTGGATCATTCTGTTTTTTCTCAACCAAAATGTACTCTTTTGCTTATTACTTATATTTTATTATTTCTACAAACTATGAGCTTAAATATGATATTTGCATCTTTCAAATATATTCTTCTTATGCTCCTTATTATTTATTGAATTAAATACACAAGCACCTTTAGTCTTTCCTCCTGCATTCATTTTACCATTCCTTATATCATTTTTCTTTGAGCTATTTCCAGGTGTTTGGTATGTCTGCTTCTAGGATCTGTCTCACCTTCTGGAATTAAGTGCTTAGAAGCTACTAGAAGACCACCACTTAGGACTGGTCACCTAACCAGAGTGACGAGAAGAAGAATTCAAATGACTGAGCTTTTTGAACAATAATACATTTTATCAATGGTAAGGAAAAACACCCTATATGTCACTAAATGGTAAATAATAGTTTCATCCACCCCATTGTAAACAATTTCTAAGACTCTTGAGAGTGGCATGAATTAGAGAATATAGCACTGAATTGGGACTGTTAAAACTTGAGTCTTAGAGACTGTGAAAAATATGACCTTAAGTACCTTAGAATATTTTTTACTTACTTATATGAAGAAGAAAATAGTATCAGCATTTTAATACCTGCCTTGCCTTCTGTATAGAGCTATTGAGAGTTCCAAGTAAGATACTGGTGATAAACATGCCTTGTAAACTATATAGTGCATTAAAATTATAAAGTAGGATTAGTCCTTCATGCTTTGCACATTGGCTTATAAAAATGGTAACACTGCTACTTCTTCATGTCATCATTTATAACTGAGTTTAACTCAGTGACCATGAATTCACATAAAACCATAAGATTCTGATGACGAAGTATTTCATAGGTGACATCTCAAGCTATTACTAGGAACAGGGTTGAGAAGGCTACAAATAGCTACATTAAAGTGGAAGAATGACTAAGCATTTCAAAAGAGGAGAAAGAGTGTGATTATTTTATTAGAAGGAAGGTGAGAGGTCAGAAATAGAAAAGCAGAAACAGGAAGCTCTGAAATAGGAAAGAGGAATCATGGAGTCAATTAGGTACAGAAAGTCTGTTCCAGATGGCCAGAGGAAGCGTGGGAACGGGGTCTTCTGGGACAAATACTCTGACGGTTGCAACAGACTGTGACTGAGACTGAAGATTGTAGATCAAAAACCCTGGTTTTCTTTGTTGGGGGAAAAACAACACCCATAGATCCATTACTGTCTGGCTCATGTCACACAATAATTTTAACCTTTCCTTTTAAAATATGCTTACAAACACTGTTCTAATATTTTAAAAATCACAGTTATGTTTTTAAAAAACTTCGTATAAATAACCACATCCATAAAATTATCCAGTAAAAAGGGGAAAAATACAAATGGTTCAAATTAGCACCAGATTAAAAGTCTTGGGCACACACAGCAAGAGAGTCTTTCAGATGAGTTGGTGTTGCAATCCAATATTCCTTCAAGAGAGGCCTTAGCAAGTTTAGTAGCTGGATCACAAAAATAATGTTAGGCTCAATATGTTGAAAACCTTGTAAGAAGGAAGTGAAAAAAAAAAGCGTGTGCGTGTGTGTGTGTGTGTATGTGTGTGTGTGTGTGTGCGTGTGTATGGTTTTCTGAGTTGACGGCATTATGATCATCCACCTAAGAGCCCAGCTTAAAAAACTCAGACATGCTGTGTGCAGTAGCTCATGCCTGTAATCCCAGCTACTTGGGAGACATAGCCAGGAGGATTACTTGAGACCAAGAGTTCAAGACCAGCTTGAGCCATATAGTGAGACCCTGGATCAAAAAATATATATAGTGAACTCAGACACTAATAATAAATTTCTATGAATTCAATGTTCTCAATCTCTCAAATCCTAGCTTTCCCTTTCATCCCCGTAGCAGCAGTTAACACTTCTGTTTTCATTCTGTGGAGAAGGGAAGTGGCCCAGCAGCCTCCTGTCTATTTTCCTTACAAACAGGCTGTGCTCATCTCAGTTACTCTTCCAGATATTTTTCTTTTAACAGTAGATCTCAAAATTTGGTATCTGCATCACTTCATGCTCTTAAAAATTATTGAGGACCCTAACTAATTTCATGTGGGGTACATCATATCAATATTTACTATATACAAACAGTCCTCACCCTTGGTATGTTACCTTATTAACTGAAACTCATGCATATCAGAGATTTTTACCCCAGATAACACAAAGCCAGGCAAAGTGAGGACACAATTTCCCAAATGTGTCTCAGGAACCCCCAGGGGCCACAGGCCACACTTAGAGAATCACTGCCTTAAAACAAGTCTGACATATCAGCCTGTTTTAAAGAGTTTCAACTTTTTTTTCCAGTGCCAAGCAAATAAACTCTGAATTTGGTGAACTTTGACAATCTGAATGCCACCTGCCTTTAGATTCTTGGGTGCCACTCCTACCACGTATGTGCTGTTCTGCTCCTACCACTCTGAGATGCTCATCATGCAGCTCGCTCCAAGCTTTTCATCACTTCTGTACAAGTGTTGCTTTCTGCCTGATATCGTTCTATCCCTGTCTGAAAAATTCCTCATTCTTCAAGATCTAATTCAAATGTTGCTACTGAGAGAAGCCTTTTCTCTCATCCTTTGCCAGCTGACCAGGGTTAGACATTTTCTCATTTGGGCCTCTTGAGTACTTCAATTATTCATTCATAAAAGTATTGGGGGCATCTATTTATGCCAGGCACAATTCTCAGGGATAGGAAAACATAAATGAGCAAGATGGAGAAGAACCCTAATCTAATTGATTAGAACTCATCTAATGGAGCTTAAGTATTAAGGGGTTCTAAAGAAAATATAATTAAAAGATAATTAAGTTATATGGTTTCAGATAGTGGTAACTTCTATTGAAAAATATAGGATAAAGGGATGGAGGGTCATAGCATAAGTAGTAAATATTAGTTAAGGTGTTCAGGGACAGATTCTTTGAGGAAGTAATATTTGAGCTAAGACTTAAAGGATTTAAATGAGTGAGTCAGGCCAAGAAAAGGAAAAAGGCAGTCTAGATAGAAGAAATGGTACAGGTATTAGTCAGGAACCTTTACAAACACAGAACTGATAGGGTGTGGATACATGGATAGATGATAGATTAGACAGACAACAGATTTACTATAAGAAACTGACTCACTGATTATGGAGGCTGGCAAGTCCTAAGCTCTGAAGGGTGAATTGACAAGCTGGAGACCTGCAGAGCTAATGGTGTAGCTCCAACCCAAGTCCATAGGCCTGAGAACCAGGAGCATCAACCATGTATCTCTAGTCCATAGGCTGGCAGTCTCAACACCTTGGAAGAACTCATGTTTCAGTTCTAGTCTGAAGGCAGGAAAAAAAGCCAGTGTCCCAGTTCAGAGGATGCCAGGCAGGAGGAATTCTCTTTTACTCAGGGGAGGCTCAGCCTTTTTTCACTATTCAGGACTTCAACTGACTGAATGAAGGCCACTCGCATTATGGAGAGCAATCTGCTTTACCCAGTCTCCCAACTTAAATGTTTACCTCATCCAGAAACACCTTGCAGATCCACACAGAGTGATATCTGGCCAAATATCTGGACACACATGACCCAACCAAGTTAACACATAAAATTAATCATCACTGTAGATATAAAAGCTGCAAAGGGAAAATGAACTTGGGTTGCTGGAAGAATAAAGGGAACTCCAAACTACACAACTGCTCCTGACAGAGAAGGCAAATGCTGAGTGATGTCTACTCAGGCAAGGGTAGTAGTGGAGACATCAGTTTTCTAGAGGCTCTGAGACAGACCCAGAATGCCTGCAAGGATGGCAGTGTAAGCGCAGATGTGGCCAGCTGGGTAGTTTAGGGCATCTGGGCAGCCTGCAATCCTGGTTCTCAGGTCCCACAGATGATTCCTTAAGTACTACATAATCTATAATTATTTTTCCCTGGAAGTATCTAAATGTTTCATTGTTTGCTGCTATGAACCCTGACCCATATGAGTTCTCACTATATAGATGAAATTTAAAACTTTGCTATTATGAGATAATCTAGGGAGTAATGTGGGATGGGGGAGTGGAGGTGAACTCTTTTTGCCGCCTCAATCTACTGCCTCCCCGGGGCTGATTAGATCAGCTAATAAACTCCTTACTTCAGTTGTTCTAGTTTGAGACAATTATACCCTTTGGTTAAACACATTTTTCCCAAATGGTATTTTACCTTCATATTCTCTGCTCACCACTTTTGTCCATTTATCTAAGCTCCCCCCACCTCATTCAGGTCCTGACAGGAAGCAGAACTCACCTCAGATGGTATGGACTGTTTTAAGGAAACAAATCTGGGAGGTTGAGGCACTAAGAAACTCAAAAAAGCGAAAGACCTTTTCTAATCTCATTGTTAAGGGGGCAAGGAAAAGACACAGGGTATAGGAGTCCAGTACAAGCTGGACCCTTGATGCCCACCAGAAATTCTGAACTAAAGCAGGGAAGGGCAGCATCCTGTTGGACAGAGCAGGGTGAAGGCACGTGAAGAGTGGATCTAGGGAGGCAAAATAGGAAACAAATAGTATACCCTTGTATAAGTCAGTTTGGCTGTCATAATGAAATAACATACACGAGGTAGCTTAAACAACAGAAATTTATTTTCTCAGAGTCTGGAAACTAGAAGCGCAGGATCAAGGTGTCAACAGGACCAGCAGAAGGCAGCCATCTCCTAAACCTTTTTTAGGCCTATCTCCTTGGCTTGCTTTCTCTCTGTCCTCATCAGGACTTTCCTCTGTGCATAGGCATCCCGGTGTCTCTGTGTGCCCAAAGTTCCTCTTAGAAGGACACCAGTCAGACTGCATTAGAGTCCATGCTAACTTAGAGTCCCTAGTTTAACTTAACCACCCCTTTAAAGGTACTATCTTACATACAAACACATTGGAAGATAGTGAAGGTTAAGACCTCAACATAAGAATTTGTTCTTAAGATAGATCTAGTTAAGATAGCGAAGGTTAAGACCTCCACATAAGAATTTGTGAGGGGGCAAAATTCAACCCATAACAATGCTCAATGTTAGTTATGTACATTTCTTATTCATCACTTTCCTTTAAGAATAACTGTCATCTCTACTTTTGCGACTTCTTTCTCTGTCCCCACCATCATTCCCCCTTCATTTCCTACCTGGACTATCTGAATGGATTTTTTAAATTTTCCCTAAATAATGGCTAATTTATTGACACTTCCAGTTTGAAAGACACTGTTGTAAATATCTTTGTGTTTTATCTCATTTAATTCTTATTTAACGTATTAACTCATTTATTTATCCCATTTAATTCTGATTTATGCTTGTGATGTGGGTGCTACTATTTTCCAAATGAGAAAACTGTATAACAGAGAAAGATTATGCAATTTTCCCATGGCAAAAGAGTTTTTTTTTTTTTTAATTGTTAAAGTTGGGATTCAAACTCTGGAAGTCTGATTCTAGAATCTGGGCTCTAGTCACCACACAGAATGGCCTGCCCTCCTTAATCATGTCTGAACTGGTTTCCAGATGCTAATTTCTAATTTGCTTCATGTTATCATGCTTTCCTGACAGTTTAAGCCTGAATCAGTGCCTCAAAAATAAAATGCTGAAAAGGTCATTACATGTTGTATTGTTTTTCTCATGATGTATAACAAATCACCACATACAGCAGTTTATAAGAAAACCCATTTATTAGCTCACAGTTTCTATGGGTCAGTATTTCAGGCTTAGGGTAGCTAGAGTATTTGCTTGTTAAGGATCTCACGAGGCTGAAATCAAGGCAGTGGACAGGCTGTGTTCTCATCTGGAGTTTGGGGTCCTCCTCCAAGTCCACTCAGATTGTTGACAGAATTTGGTTCTTTGCAGTTGTAGGACTGAAGCCTCCATTTTCTTACCGGCCACTCTTAGCCCTGATCATCCTAGTCATGTGTTCCTCTTATAACTTACTTCTTCAAAGCCTGCAGGGAAATCTAACTCTCCAGTCTCATAAGATAGAGTCCCTTTACATCACAGAACATCGTTACAATCACTGGATGACTATCCCTCACCTTTGCCATATACTATGACCTCATGAAGGGAGTGACTTTCATGTTCATAGGTCTTGTCTACACTCTAGGAGGTTAAGTGATACAGCAATACTCCAGGGAATGAGAAGTTTGGGCTTCATTTTAGAACTCTACATACCACTCACATTCCATCCATCCTCCAAATCTTACTTTTTTCTCTTTCCCATCTCTCTCTTTTGTATTGATTCCTTACACTGGCTTAATCTTTAAAATGATGTTTTATTTATCCTTTTAAGTTCCCTTATAAATAAATGACCTCGTATACCTCTCTCATATCCTCTTAAGCAATGCTAATATAAGCTGATAGTATTTTGCCACAACTGTCCCAAGTATTTTATATTATTGCCTTGGGACTTCTCTAAGTCAGTGGAGAGCCAAGTTGCGGAAATCTGCCCAGTAGAAATGCCCTGGAAGTACAAATGAAAGCCCATGGATAAATTATCCCCTTCTTCACACCACTAGGAGACAATTCTGAGGCTCCTCCAAAGATGTTTGCAAGATTGAGACCCAATTGCCAAAAGCAGCGACCAACAGAATATACAACCTTGTATTGGTTTTTCCTCCTCTGCTCTATTCCACTCTTGTTCCAAAAGTCACTTTCCAAAAATAAATTACCTGCTTGTCTCCGGCTCTGCTTCCTGGGGAGATACCTGGCTAAGACACAGGGTTAGTTAGCATTTCCCCCTCTCCCCTCAGGAACCGTAAGCTAGGACTTATATACCGTGCCAGAATCCAGCCAGTGGCCCCCCTTCCTACCACTAGTCCTCATCGGGGTTCTGTCACATTTGCCTAGTTAATCAATTGCCCTGGATTAGTTAGCTAATACTGAATTTCAAGCTGCTTCATTACACCTGCCTGATGGCTGCAGAATCAGTTAAGTGTTTCAGGTCTAGAGACCAAGACTTAGTACTGCTCAGGTCATTCCTCTGTCTCTGAGGGCCCAGCTTCTGTAGCCACAGTCTTAATCTCCCTCCTACTGCCAGGTCCACTGTCATAATCTAGTTTCGGCTTGGTCCTGCATCCTCCTCATCCGGTGACCTAATATACACTGCTCACAGAAGCGTACCCACTCCAATCTGGGGCAGAATCACTCAGTCACTGTACTTTAAAAAAAACAAGAGAGTGGCAAACTTTTATTTTTGTAGTGCTTTATTCTGAAGATCCATGATTTATGAGACCCCAAGGTAGAATGCCTCAGAGTGAACCACATAATCCCTGAGTACGTCTTCAGGCAATTACAAGGAAAGGTCAAGGCAAAGCTCTTGTTGAATATGAAGACCATGTTGAATTTAAAGTGTAAGTTCCTTTGACCTTGGTACAATTTATCTTGACTCACTGAAATATAATTCACTGAAATGGGTAACTCAAGTTCTACTTGCTTTATAAATCAATCAGTTAAAAACATTTATAGATTACCAGCAACATCCCAACCCTCGGTGTAGAAGAAAAAATATACAATATGAGGAAGAAGAAAGTAGAAATCAATACAGAATCACATGCACGCACACACATACCTGGTAAACTTTTTGTTGTTGTTGTTTGTTTGTTTTTGAGACGAAGTCTCAGTCTTGTCACCCAGGCTAGAGTGCAGTGGTGCAACCCAAGCTCACTGCAACCTCTGCCTCCTGGGTTCAAGCGATTCTCCTGCCTCAGCCTCCTCAGTAGCTGGGGTTACAGGTGCCTGCCACCATGCCCAGCTAATTTTTGTATTTTTAGTAGAGACAGAGTTTCACCATGTTGGCCAGGCTGGTGTCGAAATTCTGACCTCAGGTGATCTGCCCATCTCGGCCTCCCAAAGTGCTGGGATTACAGGTGTGTTTTAATAAACAGCAATTAACAAATGTTGTAACAAACAGTCAGAGAAAGAGGTCTTAATTAAAAATGAAAAGATCCTTAGTTATAGAAGTTCTTTCCTAAAGCACTGGGCATTAAGCCTGGGACTTGAAGATAGATAGGATTTGAAAAACTGAAGGACACTGGAAGACCCAAATGATGGTGACAAAAATAAAAAAGCAGAGCTTGACATGACTCGCTTGAGAGTAAATAGAAAGTGGCTTGAGGAAGAATAACCTTGATAACAATAAGAGCTTCAAGTTTCACAACATTTTCAAATGCCACTTATGGTTCATTTTACCTTCCATAAAATGTGATAAAATATAAATGCTAAAAAGGTCTTCAGACAGTTCATTATTTTAAAATACAAAACCATTTTAGCTAGAAATGATCACTTCTCTGACCTCTTTCCTTTTTGAAAATTTGCACTAGCAACAAATGCAGTTATTTCTCTTGCCTGAACTATCCTACGCAAAGTATGGGGAAACACACACACACACACACACACACACACACACACACACACACAGTTTATCAGGTCATGGGAACTCCCATATACTTAATAAGAAACAGACCAAAAAAAAAAAAAAAATTACTCTTTGAACTCTAGGTTCACTCCCAAATCAAATGACTTTCACTCTTGAACAAGCCTCACAATATGTACAGAATATGTATCACAAAAATGGGAGAAACCACAAATCCCAAACAAGCAATGACATTTACAGCATGGTATTTAAGGCTGGGGGCTCTGGACTCAAATTGCCTGTGGAGTACTCAGAATTTTGTCTAGAACATGGTAAGTCTTCTAGTTTCTAGCTATTAATTTTCTGTACTGTAAAAAAGAAAAATACAGACCATGTAGGGTCACATTAACTAATTTAGAGCACTGGAACAAACTTAAATGGGGAACGTATAGCACAAAATGAAACTTTGAAAGTTTGTTTTTAAAAATAAAGATGAATGTAAAAGATGTGCCTGGAGCAAATACAACATTTTATTATATATTTTTCCACTTTAACATGCCAAAATTTTATAAGGGCTATCAGATTTATTACAGCAGATATAACAATCTTATTTTGGGAGAAGATTTAGAAATTTATTTTTTCCCAATTCCTCTTTTTTTTTTTTTTTTTAATAAGGATGACTAACAAAGTGAAGAGACAGATTCTGAGAAGCATATCTCTACTGCTTTACATGGACTGCATTTTCAGCCTCACATGTTGATAACACTTAATTATAACCAGCACTCCTATAAGAATGTCTATAAGATATATACATATATGTTCTTTTCAAGATTATGTTATTCACCCCGCAATAGTTACAGCTAATCCAAGCTGTGTTTTCAAGGGCACGGCTGCCTTGCAGAACATAATGCTGATTTTATGTCAGCAATGCTGCCTTCAGTTATTTTTGTTATCTTGATCCTCCTGAATTCCCTCTGTAGAGATTCAAAACAGTATTTCTTTTGTCCCGACTTTCCTTACGAGTTTAAAATAGCGTTTTGACTTTGAGTGTTTCGTGTATACATAACAAAGAAACTTGAAAACTATCTTCATGATCTTGTGATTGATTTTATATTTTTTAAGGGAGTATTTTTGTTTTAAGGCTTTGCTGTTATAGAATGTATATAACTTCCTTCACTTAAAATGGAAATCATCTGTCAATCCAACTCTTTAGATTTAATCATGTCTTATCAAATACAGTCAATTCAGAAATTTACTAAGACATAATTTTTATTCTAAGTATATGTATGTTACATCACTTTTATATAGTAATCAGTTACTGAACCAGGATGAAGATATTTTACTTTTCTTTCATCTCTCTAAATAGTTCCAAATCCACATATATTAGAAAATATAACACACAAAATGCGTAAACCTGACAGATGTGTTCTAGTTACTTTTGGTTTAATAGGCATTTTCCTACTCTGTCTCCACATAAAGTTTTCTAAGAAGTCAAAAAAGGTTGAGCCCCTGTACTATGTTTCAATAAACAGTCTTAATACATTTTACTAGATGGAGAATAACATTACACACCTCCCTTGGGATCTAAGATACTATGAATTGGACACACTGACCTTTTTTACAAAAAAGGATATGAAACATTCGGCACTATATCTGTAACAGGATACTTCTGATGGATTTAGTTATACAAGGTTACAGCTGTCAATTGGAAATGCCTAGCCTACCTCAGCTTGAATCACCTCTCTCATTTTTCTTCTGGAAAGAAGAAAAAAAAAGATCATTGAATTATTCAAGACAACAGAGAAGGTTTGGCCTAAACTAACCACTAAAGGAAATACCATGCAAATGCTCACTTTAAGTCATGTTTAGCCATGCATACTTGTGCGAATTATTCTGAATCTATATAACTGCATAAGATCATACTATAAAATGCCAAGAGGTAAAGCAAATGATCATGAATTCGTCTCAGGGAAATGAACAAGGGTTCCTTCACTGCATAAGATTATACATCAATGGAGATTCTAAATTCTAGAATGGATTAACTTGAGAAGTTAAAATTACTCTACAATTAAAATTTATTCTTGATGTCTAAGAAAACTCTGTAGCAGAAATGTAAGGCCATTTCCTCACTTGGAATATCCATCATTATTTTAAGAATACCCTTTTATAAAATGTTAAAATAGCGAAGTCCTGAAATTATAAACAAATACATTTCATGCTAATCAAAACAAATAATTAACAATGTATGAGAGTCTGCTCACATAAACATCTGTTTTTAAAAGGTGGGAAATAAGATATCTATATATAAGCAAGGAGTGAGCAAATAACTATACAAACTAACCTCCAAATATAATGAAGTGTTAATACCACGAAGTGACAATAAATGTTTTAAGAGAAAAAAAACATGAAGTGAATATAAAAGTCAGAAATAAGATTAGAAGGGTTTATAAATAAGGGTAATAATGGACAGGAAGTAGCTTTAAGAACTTGAGCTATGTTTATAAATATTATGATGAAAGAAATCAATGTACCCAGAATGTACTCAGAAAGTACTTAAGAGTACTTTCTGGGGTTTAGATCTGAAAGAGTGATGTGGGGTTTAGATCTGAAAGATGGGGAGAAAATAGTTAGTCCACCATCACTATTGGGTGGGTGGGGTGAGGGAGTGGAGCCTGGAGTAGGCAGAGTTCCAGATGTAGCTATGAGAGAACAAGATGTGTTTTTTTGGAAAATGCCCTCAGCTCTAGAGTGGTGAATGGGCAAGGAAGCAAGGTCTGTAATATAGAAAAACAATATTATAGTTGGCAGACATTAATGAACTTTGAAGGAGATGATAATGGCTTTAAGTAGTAAAATGATATTAAGAGTACAGTAAGGTAAACGGATTGCAGAGATACATTGATGATCAGATTAACATTACAGGTATGGGAAGGAAAAAAAGACAGAGTTGGAAAGAATACCCAGGTATCTGTCTTGGGTGAGTGGTGGGTGTGTTTGAACATTCCCTGGGAGATATTTTGAGTAGCAGGGTCCTTACGTTAGCTAAGTGATCCCGTACCATATGTAGTTGGATAAGCAGATAGAAGATTTAAGAGAGAATCTGAATTTGAACTAGAGATTTGAAATTCATTCTCAAATAAATGTAGTATGACCACGGAAATGGGTGAAACCTTTCAGAGAAAACTGTGGAGAAAGAAAAGAAATTCCAAAGATAAAATCCTAAGAAATATTGACATTTAAAGCGTAGTCCAAGAAAGAAAAACCTGGAACATGGTATTGCTGGAACAAAGGAATATTGTCAGAAAGAAAGAAAACTTATTTTAATTATAAAAAGTACCATAGCAAAGATGTATTTTGTATTGCATGAGGCTAATATATATTTTAAGAGTGTTACTATAATATGTCAGAGAATGTGTAAAAATAAACAGAACACTGCTTGGAGGCAAAAATATCAGAGAAAATTAAGCTAAGAATTACATTCATATATTCATTCATTCATTGATACTTTCAGGAACTTTCTATCAAGTATGCATTATGAAGTACTGAAAAAGGTGTTCATCAAATAGAAACATAAATCAAACATAGTCTGGCTTTCAAGAGCTTATATACTAAAGCAAGAGATGAGATATGCTGTAGTAAATAGCTGGGGGTAAAAAGGACATGTTCCCTAAGGAAAACATGCTAAGGAAGGTCAGAAAAAGAATACATAGCATGGCCACAGAGTCAAACACAATGTAGCTTCTCAGTAAATACATACTTAATCAATTTATGCAGTCCAGCTGGAGAGGTTAAAAACTGCTTTCCAAAGCAATTGGCCTTTACCATTAACACAGGAGAATTCCTAGAGTTTAAATATAAGAGAAGGGATTTGGATAAATCAGGGTCAAGTACAAGGATAGCAGCTGGAGAAACTTAATCTGGAGCAAAGACCTGAGAAATGTATCCATTTAAAGATATTTTGAACATGTGTCTACATTAACCTCATGTGAAAAACTAAACAAAATACTTATTTTGTGACAGCATCAGTCTTACGGATCCAATGCTATATATAGTAATGGCCATATCCATTCAACAATTTATAGTGCCCCAAATACTTTTGGATACATTTTATATTCAATTCTGAACAACAACTTTAATGATTAGGACAATTATTTATCTATGTGGAAACTGAGACCTGAATGGCAACATGTAATAAAATGTAAGTCTTTGTACTGCCCTAGTGATTTTCTCAATAAATTATTTTAAAATAATAAAATTCATAAAGTCATTCAAGAGATCATGGGCTGGGCACAGTGGCTCACGCCTGTAAACCCAGCACTCTGAGAGGCCAAGGTGGACGGATGACTCAAGGTCAGGAGCTTGAGACCAACCTGGCCAACATGGTGAAACTCAGTCTCTACTAAAAACACAAAAATTCCTGACTTTTTAATGATTGCCATTCTAACTGGTGTGAGATGATATCTCACAGTGGTTTTGATTTGCATTTCTCTGATGGCCAGTGATGATGAGCATTTTTTCATGTGTTTTTTGGCTGCATAAATGTCTTCTTTTGAGAAGTGTCTGTTCATGTCCTTCGCCCACTTTTTCATGGGGTTGTTTGTTTTTTTCTTGTAAATTTGTTTGAGTTCATTGTAGATTCTGGATATTAGCCCTTTGTCAGATGAGTAGGTTGCGAAAATTTTCTCCCATGTTGTAGGTTGCCTGTTCACTCTGATGGTAGTTTCTTTTGCTGTGCAGAAGCTCTTTAGTTTAATTAGATCCCATTTGTCAATTTTGTCTTTTGTTGCCATTGCTTTTGGTGTTTTGGACATGAAGTCCTTGCCCATGCCTATGTCCTGAATGGTAATGCCTAGGTTTTCTTCTAGGGTTTTTATGGTTTTAGGTCTAACGCTTAAATCTTTAATCCATCTTGAATTGATTTTTGTATAAGGTGTAAGGAAGGGATCCAGTTTCAGCTTTCTACATATGGCTAGCCAGTTTTCCCAGCACCATTTATTAAATAGGGAATCCTTTCCCCATTGCTTGTTTTTCTCAGTAACAGGTGCTGGAGAGGATGTGGAGAAATAGGAACACTTTTACACTGTTGGTTGGGACTGTAAACTAGTTCAACCATTGTGGAAGTCAGTGTGGCGATTCCTCAGGGACCTAGAACTAGAAATACCATTTGACCCAGCCATCCCATTACTGGGTATATACCCAAAGGACTGTAAATCATGCTGCTATAAAGACACATGCACACATATGTTTATTGCGGCATTATTCACAATAGCAAAGACTTGGAACCAACCCAAATGTCCAACAATCATAGACTGGATTAAGAAAATGTGGCACATATACACCATGGAATACTATGCAGCCATAAAAAAGGATGAGTTCATGTCCTTTGTAGGGACATGGATGAAATTGGAAATCATCATTCTCAGTAAACTATCGCAAGAACAAAAAACCAAACACCGCATATTCTCACTCATAGGTGGGAATTGAACAATGAGATCACATGGACACAGGAAGGGGAATATCACACTCTGGGGACTGTTGTGGGGTGGTGGGAGGGGGGAGGGATAGCATTGGGAGATATACCTAATGCTAGATGACGAGTTAGTGGGTGCAGCGTGCCAGCATGGCACATGTATATATATGTAACCTGCACAATGTGCACATGTACCCTAAAACTTAAAGTATAATAAAAAAAAAAAAAACACAAAAATTAGCCGGGTGTGGTGGTGCATGCCTGTAGTCCCAGCTATTAGGGAGGCTGAGGCATGAAACTTGCTTGAACCTAGGAGGCGGAGGTTGCAGGCGGTGGTTGAAGGCGGAGGTTGCAGTGATCCAGGATTACACCACTGTAATCCAGCCTAGGTGACAGAGGGAGACTGTCTCAAAAAATAAAAAAAATAAAAAAGATCATGATTCTTGGTCATATCAGCTGAGAATAAACATGTCTGAAAGAGTAAATACAGTGTGTATATATAGTTTTATATATTGTGAGGGCTTTAAAATGAAATGATTGCAGTTTTCTAAACTGAAGGTCTTGAACAGAGGTTGCACATATTAAATATCACATACTCAAAACACACCGTGAGGAATTTTACATAATCTGAGCCTTGAGTGATCATTTGGAAGCCTGGTTTCTGACTTTAATTAATGGTTTCATTTTTAAGCCAGTTACCGATTCCCTGCATGATATCAGTTTTTATTCCACAGAATAGTTTGATAACATTTGTATGCATGTAGAGAGATTGATGGGATAGTGAAATTAGAAGACCTCTTTGGATGACACTTCTCCCCCAATGAGAAGTTCTGCATGGTCTTTATTTACTAGCATGAGTGAGTATGATTATATTGTGCATATAACTCTGACGAATGTCATTCAATACTATTTCATCATACTACAGCTAAGTATATATTCATGTTATCATAAAACTCTTAAAATTTCTAATTCATTATGCCAAATGCTACTTTTTACATAAATTAATTCTCAAGATGGCATTAAATATATAATTAACATTTGATATATGAAGAATACTTGATGTCTGAACTTCAAAATAGCCTAATGCACAATTCTTTGAGTAAAATACCTTTTGTGCTATCTTCTTAAAATAGCATAGCAGAGAGTAGTAAGTGTACTTAAGTTTCTAGTGAACATTCCCAAATATACTCCAAAACTTTCATTTTATATGGCCCTTTGATATGCTAACTAATATATGGCATATGGCAGTATTTTTATATCTTGCTCAGCATTGATATGCTAAGGTTATTTTTACTGAAATTCTTTAATAAATTCCTGGGATATATATTGTAACCAAATGTATGCTCCCTAATGAAAAATGATGTAATTTCTCCCTTTGGTTATTTGACAAGCAATACAATAGGGTGTATGCAGTGCCTCTCCAATAGGCCCTTTGCAAGCTCCCCTTGGTTACTTAGAGTGCCCCATAGGTGCCTGAAGTGGGAGTGGGGAGGCACTGGCCCCTGCCACACTTCTGCTCATCTTGATCTTTCTGCCAATTTTAGCTTTCTGCGTCAAGTTCAATGCCTTTGCTTAACAGTCAAAGTAAAATTGCTTCCAAGTCTTCAACTGAAGCGCATCCTTACCCAGGAAGTCAGAAGGACATATTGATGTTTTGAGTGTGCACTGGGGCTAGAGAAGAGTTAACAGCTAATTCTGACATACAAGTATGAATTACTCTTGTCTGGAAGTCACTTTTCTAGTAGTTTTATTTTTTCATTACTGATATTTTTCAAAATCTTAAATCTTGCCCAGAATTCTATTAGCATTTAGAAAAAAACTAAACCTAGGTGATTGTGGGTTTTTCTTCCCCTTTCTGTCACTGCAACAAACACAGGAACAAATATCCATAGATTGATGAACATTCAGCTACATGTGACCAGTGAATTACAGGTTGTGCTGAAGACTTTGTTTTTAATATGTATGTGACCTTGTGTGTATTCTCTAGACGTGTACATGTGTTATCAGCATTTTTAGATATAGAAGTTATCAGCAAGAAAATTGAAGTCATCCATAGGAAGTTATCTACATGAAGCAGGCATATAGGAAAATTGACTTCTTGGATTTTCCTGAAGATCACTTGTTTCCTGACTGTGAACTAGAAGATTTTGGAGGAAGCAAATCTTTGGGTATAGTTGATTTCCAAGAGATGAGTCACTTTATTTTACTAAAGCAACACTGCCCAGCATTGCCACTGACTTTCCGAATTCAGAAAATACATTTTGTGTTCTCATAACAGCAAGATCATGGATCATTTTTTAACCCTGGGTCTTTTAGGCTTCAGTCAGCAATGTGTTTATAACAAAATTGCTGGTATATAAGAAAAAAGTTTATTATACTGGAGGCTTTCGGGTCCAGTCTGATCAGATAACAAAAGGGAATAGATCACATTGTAGTGTTGTGGAACTATTTTGAAATTCAGGTAATTTGACAGGGGAAAAATATGTTTGCTCTCAGTCATTTTTATTTCTTTCCACAGTACATCATGGCATGAAATTTCTGCCACAAATAACACAAATGGATTCTAACAGAAACATTCTAACAAGCCTAAGTGAGTTGGATCTAGAGTAGACTATATAATTTGGTTAGCTATGTTAGTAGAAAACAAGCACTACTTTCATAAGTTGGATTGTGAATTTTCCAGGCTGAGTGAAAGTTTGCTGTGTGTTCACATATGTTGTACCGTGGGGAAATAGATCAAGAGTTCATTTTAGTGACATTAGCCAAAAGGTCAGATGCCATACTGCCTTCCAGAGTGAATATACATACAACCTTTTCATGTATCTTTACATATTTAGAAAAGGATAAAAAATGGGAGTCTTTAGAATATTTGACATTCTTGGGAACCAAAGATAAAAAGAATTGAAATAACGTGAAATTTTGTAGAACAAAAATAGGTCAAGGCTACCTAGTTAACTCTCCAAATTCCTGCAAAGAAATGTGTTTCCTTTGTAGCATCTTTACACTTAATTATTTAGTTACTATCTTGTTTTATATCATCTTCTATGTTGGATTGGAAATTTGTAAGAGTGAAAAATATTTCAGCTGCTGCTATACCCCTGGCACCCAGTATGGTGTCTGGCCTGTGAGGCTCTGGATAAATATGTCTCCACTCTGCCTGTGAGGCTCTGGATAAATATGTCTCCACTCTACCCTTGGGCCCACACTGAGACAGTTTCTTCTTCTCTCTTACCCCCGAATATTTCTGTTCCCTTCATGACTGATGGCCTGCTGGAAGTTTTGGAACCACATTTACCAGGCACTGCTCCTTGGGAGCTACTGTTAAGCCAAACTTATGCAGTTTTTCCACCTATTTTTTTTTAAATCACTGTGGTACAAAATTCAGGCAAATTCTCTAAACCTCTGCCACCCTAAGAATTTGTTATTTCCTTTCAAATTAGAAATTTTGTGATACCTTTCTCTGATGTTGAGAACGTAAGAGTGAGGTCATAAATTTTCCAGTTGATGCTGTGCTTCTCCTGCACTGTAATACATGTTTCCTTTTTTTTCCTGGGATAATGTTTAGCTATAAGCATCCCAATTTAATTCACCCATATCTAACCACATTTTCATATATGTATGATGTCAGCAATATTTCCTGAAAGTTCTAGGACCTGCTTTCATTGCATAAAAAAGGGAAAAGACATTTATTATTATCCAAGCAATATCATTTTATATATATATATATATATATATATATATATATATATATATATATATATTACACACACATCTATCTGTCTATCTACCTGTCTCCTCAAAAGAGCTGGAAATGGATGTTACTAAGAGCTATGAAGTCCACGAAGCATCAAGTAAGAAGATTAGCTCTAAGACTTAATTCATCTTTTAAAGTCCTAGGCTGATTATGTTCAGTTTTCCTAAATATATAAAATGATGCTTCTAATGTTGCAAACTTTAGAAATTTGCTGATGCCTGAGACAGGGTAAAAGAATGTCTGCTTTCTGGTAACGGCATTCTAAGCTATTCATACCACCTCTCCTTTACCAAAAGTAATTTAAACTACCGGATGAAACATTTCTTACATTTTTTTAAAAGCAAGGTGACATAAAAAGATAATAAGAAATCATTAGGATAAAACTAACAGGAAATGTAAACTACCAGGTGTAACCAAGTATTAATGCTGTTTTTACCTAGATGGCATTTGCCTATACTAATAAATTCGAACTTGTGTGTTAAAATCTTTGCTGTCAGGAAGAACCAAAATTAAACCTGATACCCATGAAAGTAAAGCCTAATAATGGAAATTTAGCACAGTAATCTGAGACCCAAAAAGGCTAAAATATCATAGTGTGATACTAGAAATTAATAGTCAACAGGTAGTTTTAAGACTTAAACTTGGAATTAGGTGCTTTTGAATTAGTAATACCCTAATCTACATAACAGATGCAAACGGCAATTCTCTCTAGAGAAAGGTACTTCATCTATTTAGTGAATATATTTTCACATATGATAACCTGACACAAAGACAACTAAACATGGCAGCATGGCAAATATGACAAAAGAAACATATCCCTAAAGATTTCAAATATTTTCGTTTTTCAGATAAAACCTATAAAAATATTATGCTTGCTGTATTTAAGGAAACAAAACAAACTTAACATATTAAGGAAATTATAAAATAGAAATCTAGTAATAAAAATGCAACTTTAAGGAGTGAGAAATATAATTATTAAAATTAAAAGCTCACTGGATAAATTTAGCAGTCATACAGACAAAGAGATATAGTCACAGACATATATAGACAGAATTTGTGAGCTGCAAGCATAGAGAAACATAAAAAGGAAAATATAGGCACATATAAAAAGCATAAAGAATATATTGAAAAGTATGGATATAAACTAAAACAGAGTTCCAGAAAGAAAAGAGAGGGAAAATAGGAATGGGGCATTGTTTGAATAATAGCTGACTATTCCATGAATAATAAAATATCCCTATCCACATACACAAAATACCAATGAATCTCAAGCTGAATAAATAAAAACAATATTATCTACACCTGGACCCATCATAATTAAACTGTAGAATGCCAAAGACAAACACCACATTTTGAAACAATCATAGAAATATGACAGATAACTTTTACAGGAGCATAAATGGAAGCAAAGAAAACCTCCCAAAATAAAAAGAGAAAAAACAACAGTAGAATAATATACTCAATATATTGAAAGAAAGTAACTAATTCTACTCAGTAACATCATCTTTTAAGGATGCCAGTAAAATGTATTTTTTCAGACAAACAGAAACTGAAAGTGTTTGCTACTCATAAACCCATACTGGAAATTATTTACGACGTACTTGAAGCAAAAGAAAATATAAACCCAGATGGAGAATATGATATACAAGAGGAATGAATAAAATGAAGTGATAAAAAGGTGGAAAAAACTAAATATCATTATATGAAACATTAAAAATAACAACTTGTGGGGTTTTCGAGTATAAAATTAAAATATATGAGGACAAGTTGGGAGTAGATACATAAGTGGGATCAAACTATTCAAAGGTCATTGTATTTCCCAGAAAGAGGATAAAAGTATTGATAAACTTAATATCTATAGTTTAACCATGTAACTAAATAAAAACTTCTAAACCAGCCAAAAAAGCAATGAAATGATTCAACATAATTAATGCAGTAAACATACTTATCTTTTTCCTCTAAGTATAGCTAAGATCCCTGGACATTATATATAAAATGAACAGAAGACGTTGAAAGGTGGAGAGAAAAGGCAGACCAGGTAGGGACCTTGGGAGCCAAGAAATAACAAAACTCTCTGCACCCACCATCGTACCTTCACACAAAGAGGCCACGTGAGGACACTGCGAGAAGATAGCTGTCTACAAGCCAGGAAGAGAGGCCACAGCCGAAACCAACCCTGATAGCACCTTGATCTTGGACTTCCAGCCTCCAGAACTGTGAGAAAAGAAATTTCGGTTATTTAAGCTACCCACTATTTTTTTATGGCAGCCCTAGCAAACTAATACAGAGATACCCTCACAAACATTACAGATCACATAAAAATCAGTTTATAAAACATTTTTAAAATTACAAATTTTTATGGAGAACAGATTAATGGTTGCCCAGCATAAGGATGATGGGGAAGAAGGGATTGCATATGACTATAAAAGGTAACACAAAGGGTAACACAATACTTTGTAGTGGTGGAATAATTCTATATCTTCACAGTAGTGGTAGTTACATGAATACATGTGTCTGACAAAATGAAATGTTTTTAAAAATTTATAGCTAAAACATCATAATCAATCCAAAAAAAGTAGAGAAAATGAAACATGAAAGAATATAAATATATAAATCCCAGAACAAGATAGTAAATTTGAACTGTAATATTTTATTAAATGCAGTAAATGTAAATGGAGACAATGCTCTATTTAGAAGATGAATATTTGTAAATAAGTTTAAAAACTGAAATATAACTGTATGCTGATTTCAAGAGCCACATGTAAGACAGAATGTTTGAAAGTAAGAGAATAGTAAAAACATACACTAACCAAAATAAACTGGTAAAGCTATATTAACAACAGACAAAATAGATTTCAAGGCAAAAAAAGAAAACATTACTGGAGTTAAAGAGAGTAATTCATAATAAAACATTTGATAAGAATTTTATTTGATAGGAATCAAGTAACTGATGATTTTAAATTGATTGAGGTGCAGATTATTCAACGCCAGAATTATGATCTTTACCAATCAAACAGTGGCTATTTAAAATCTGCTGTTTACCTTTTGTTAGTAAAAATGAAATGGTTATCCAAAACATTTTTTTCTTCAAATTAAGTTTGTTATCCAGAACAAAGGTAGACATTCTGAGTTACATACTTACAAAAGCCAGTCTTAAAATATATTTTATATGTATATATTGTTACATAAAACTAAAAGTATAAAGGTTTATAAGATTTTCCTTCCCTATGACAATGACACATGAACCTTTGGAGTAACATTCTATCCTGGACGTTCTCCCAATTCATGTTTTATTTTCTTTAAAACATTATTAATGAACTGCCCATTATGACTTGTGAGGAGAGATGGTTAGCATTCAATCACTTGGTCTATTATAAATCTAGGTCGCTTGCTCTTAAAAATAAATCAGTTTTCTAAGTGCACTGCATAAAATCTCTTTAGACACTTGGTATGTCAATATATTGCAAGAAGATTTCCTGACTTAAAGATGATAAAAGGGTTGACAGAACTCAAATTGTGTCACATTATAATGGAATAGTATTATAACTCTAGCATGGGGTAAGACCACAGTAAGACCAGAAGCACAAATGTTCCAAGTCAAAAGATATATACTTCATGTTAAGTCTTCTGTGGACACATTTTGGGTGATAGTATGTATAGTGGAGCTAATGTATATATGCCACAAGATTGGCTTTTGTAAGTATGTAACTCAGACTGTCTACTTTTGTTCAACTAAATATGAAGAAAAAATTGGAAAAAAAATTTTTAATGTCCTATTTTTATTTCCTATATGGGATAACCTCATTATTCAAACTTCATTTTTGCTTTCAATACCATAGAAGTAAAAGCACTTTTAAGACTTAGTAGAGAGTTTAGGTCTCAATATCCTTTTTTTTTTTCTTTTTCTTTTTTTTTCCTTTTTTTTTTGTGGAAAGCTGAAGCCATCAACCCATATGCAAAAGAAATGAAATCATGAATAAATCAAAGGATTAAAAAAATAACTCTTTATGTAGAGCCCTAGGTAGACCATGTTGTTGTCTTTTCTTTATCTCTGTTAACAAAACAAAAAATAAAGAGCATATTTTAAATAGTCACTGTTGGATCAGTAAAGATCATAATTCTGGGTTTCTATCATCCACACTTCAATCAATTTTTATAAGCATTAAGTTAGAACTGCAGGAAAAGGTACCCCCTTTTTTCTGGGCCATGAGCCCCGCACACTAACAGGTGTTCTGTCAGCTTCTTTGTAGTATCCAGTTCCCGTTTGTTTTAGCATTGAGTTCCTCACATATGCTAGGTATTAGTCCCTTGTCAAATGACTCGTTCTCAAATATTTTCTCTCATTCAACAGGATGTACCCTCACTCTGTTGATTGTTTCCTTTGCTGTACAGAGTTTTTTAGTATTGAGTTCCTTACATATTCTAGGTATTAGTCCCTTGTCAGAAGAATAGTTTGCAAATGTTTTCTGTCACTCAACAGGATGTATTCTCACTCTATTGATTGTTTCCTTTGCTATAGAGTTGTTTAGTTTAATATAGTCCCATTTGTCTCTTTATATTTTTATTATAAACACCAATGTGAATTATTCCATAGAAATGGGGGATATTTTGGCCGGGCGCGGTGGCTCACGCCTGTAATCCCAGCACTTTGGGAGGCCGAGGCGGGCGGATCACGAGGTCAGGAGATCGAGACCATCCTGGCTAACACGGTGAAACTCCGTCTCTACTAAAAATACAAAAAATTAGCCGGGCGTGGTAGCGGGCGCCTGTAGTCCCAGCTACTCGGGAGGCTGAGGCAGGAGAATGGCGTGAACCCGGGAGGCGGAGCTTGCAGTGAGCCGAGATCGCGCCACTGCACTCCAGCCTGGGCGACAGAGCGAGACTCCGTCTCAAAAAAAAAAAAAAAAAAAAAAAAAAAAAAAAAAAGAAATGGGGGATATTTTATATTCTAGGATACATGTTTTATTATCATCAGTTGCCCACTGATAATGCCTCTAGCTGAAATCTACTTATTTATTTAAGGTGAGCAAAGGACAAGGAGAAAATAGGAAGACATTAGTATTTGCATTAGGGAAGAAGGTAATACATTCCTGTACACACGAAAATATATGTGACCAATAAAATGAAATATTCTCAGACTACTGTATCCCACAGTTTAGTCTCCCTCTTGGCATTCCCACAGAATCTATGGTCTGTTCCACTCCACCCACTTTGATTGTAGTCCTTGAGGGCAGAAAAAAAATATGTTATACATTCTAAATATACTGGACACCTTCAGTAAGCATTTGATTTGTTTAAGGCTGCACTGGGAATACTGAAAACTAATGTGTATTTTATTAATACATAATATTTTACATATTTATGGGGTACATGTGATTTTTGTTACATGCGCAGAATATATAATGATCAAGACAGAGTATTTGAGGTATTCATCACCTTGAATATTTATCATTTCTGTGTGTTGGAAACAATTTGAGTCCTATCTTCCAGCTACTTGGAACTATACAATACATTGTTAACTATAGTCACTCTACTCTGCTGTTGAACCATAGAACTTATACCTATTATCTAATGTGTATGTTGGTACTCATTATCCTACCTCCCCCTCCCACCTACTCATCCTTCCAAGCCCCTAGTATCTGTCATTCTCCTCTATGCCTTTATGAGGTAAATATTTTTTATCTCTGATGAGAACATGCAATATTTTTCTTTCTGTGCCTGGCTTATTTTGCTTAACATAATGACCCCCAGTTTCATCCATGTTGCTGCGTATGACAAGATTTCATTCCTTTATATGGCCAAATCCTATTCCATCGTGTATGTGTGCCACATTTTCTTCATTCATTCATCCTTTGGTGGATACTTAGGTTGATTACATATCTTGACTCTCGTGAATGGTGCTGTAATAAACATTCAAGTATAGGTATTCCTTTGGTATGCAAACTTCTTTTCCTTTGGATACATATCTAGCAGTGGAATTGCTGGATCATACGGTGGTTCTATTTTTAGCTTTTTGGAAAATCTCTATAGTTTTTCATAGTGGCTGGTCTAATTCACATTCTTACTAACGACATATGAGTTTCCTTTTCCCCACATCCTCACCAACATCTGTTATTTTTGGACTTTTTAAGAATAGCTATTCTAACTGGGGAAAGATGATATCTCATTGTGGTTTTGATTTGCATTTCCCTGATGATTAGCGATGTTAAGCATTTTTCCATATACCTCTTGGCCGTCTGTATGTCTTCTTTTGAGAAATGTCCGTTCATGTCCTTGGCCCACTTTTTAATGGAATTATTTGATTTAGTATTGAGTTCCTTACATAATCTAGGTATTAGTCCCTCATCAGAAGAATAGTTTGCAAATGTTTTCTCTCATTCAACAGGATGTATCCTCAGTCTGTTGATTGTTTCCTTTGCTATACAGAGCTTTTTAGTTTAATATAGTCCCATTTGTCTCTTTAAATTTTTATTATTCATGTTTTCCAGGTATTAGCCATAAAATCTTTGCCTAGACCAATGTCTGCAGGTATTTTTCCTATGCTCTCTTTCAGTAGTTTTATAATTTCAGGTGTTATATGTACATCTTCAATCTGAAAATACTTCCTAAAGTATTTTATCAGATACATCAGATATATGTCTTTTATTCCTTTTTTCAAATATCCTTTCAAATTTTTTCACATAGGTAAAATTCACACAAACCAATAATTAGATTGGATTCAGTGAAATAAATTACTTGAATTTTAATTCAAATCAAAATATACTTACTGGACTCATATAGTCCCTGGTTTTAAAGAATTTCAATAAATTGTACATTTAAAATGTGTTTATATTAAAATAAATTCAATAGAAGGAGTTTTATTGTTTGGACAAGAGAGGTGTGAATTATGCCAGTTACCCATCAAAGGCTGTCCAAGAGGCAAAGAATGGTAATATCTAGACTAACAAAAAATATCTTCTAAATTAAATATATGCCTATGACTAAGTGGTACACTATGTTAAATGGTTAACCATGACCCTAACTTTTACCTGTGAAAAAGTAAATAGAAAGTTATTTAAAATCCAGGCCGCTAATTCATAAGATCAATTTTTCTATTCCCATTTCCAAAATTAATCATACTTTGGCCTAGCCCTTCCTGCTAAGCTTTGTTGAACTTTGATTGGTTCCCTTACGTTAAAGCCCCCATAAAAAGCTTGCCCTTCTTCCCAAGTTAGAATGCTTTAACATAAACATCTCATGCTTGGCATTTTTCATAGTATAATTCCAGGGTACTACTAATAATGTTCTAGTTGAATATCTTTCACATGTCACACCACAAAACCAAGTCACGGAACCAAATACAAAACCAGGGACATGGAAATATACTCAGAGTTTTGATGGGATGAAATGCAAAGATACATGGCAATGGCCATGGCTGCAAGGAACGTTGAAATGTCAGGGATGTAGTGGTTGGTCTATCTAAACCATTAGGTTTGGTTTAGCAGCAAATTTTAAAGACTTAACAATGGTTAGAGATATGTTCAGTTTTGCTTCTGCTGAACTCTTTCTCATTGTAACTTCTTCCCGGTATTTCCTGGAGAAGCACCATTTTTCTTGTCTTACAGTACAGGGGGGTTAGAGGGAGTGCAGAAAGGAGGAGGAAGAGAGAAAAAATGTATGGCCAGTTTCTTTTAAATTATCTTGTAATTATGTTCTTATCTTGCTTGTAATATCAAATCTCAACACACAAACAAGATGCACTATGTAAATGAAAAACATCACTGCCTTACCCAATTTTGGGTATGGCAGGCATACTAATAAAAATATACAAATAACTGAAATCTGGGCTAATAGAAAAAAATAAGTTTAGAGACTAGAGAAACCGACTTAATAATAAAGACCAAGAAGTGTGTACCATTTAAAATAGATGGTTTTCTTATTCTTGATAGATTAGTCACCACAAGCATTTCATTATCTGGAACAAATGCAGGAAGAGCAGAGTGGGCTCTAGAATATCATAGTAACACAAAAGGGGCTCCAAGGGTCAGACACAAATTTTTTTTAAAATTTTATTATTATTATACTTTAAGATTTAGGGTACATGTGCACAACTTGCAGGTTTGTTACATATGTACACATGTACCATGTTGGCGTGCTGCACCCATTAACTCCTCATTTAGCATTAGGTATATCCCCTAATGCTATCCCTCCCCGCTTCCCCACCCCACAACAGGCCCCGGTGTGTGATGTTCTCCTTCCTGTGTCCTTGTGTTCTCATTGTTCAATTCCCACCTATGAGTGAGAACATGCGGTGTTTGGTTTTTTGTCCTTGCGATAGTTTGCTGAGAATGATGGTTTCCAGCTTCATCCATGTCCCTACAAAGGACATGAACTCATCATTTTTTATGGCTGCACAGTATTCCATGGTGTATATGTGCCATATTTTCTTAATCTAGTCTATCATTGTTGGACATTTGGGTTGGTTCCAAGTCTTTGCTATTGTGAATAGTGCCGCAATAAACATACATGTGCATGTGTCTTTTTAGCAGCATGATTTATAATCCTTTGGGTATATACGCAGTAATGGGATGGCTGGGTCAAATGGTATTTCTAGTTCTAGATCCCTGAGGAATTGCTACACTGACTTCCACAATGGTTGAACTAGTTTACAGTCCCACCAACAGTGTAAAAGTGTTCCTATTTCTCCACATCCTCTCCAGCATCTGTTGTTTCCTGACTTTTTAATGATCACCATTCTAACTCGTGTGAGATGATATCTCATTGTGGTTTTGATTTGCATTTCTCTGATGGCCGCGATGATGAGCATTTTTTCATGTGTTTTTTGGCTGCATAAATGTCTTCTTTTGAGAAGTGTCTGTTCATATCCTTTGCCCACTTTTTGATGGGGTTGTTTGTTTTTTTCTTGTAAACTTGTTTGAGTTCATTGTAGATTCTGCATACTATCCTAAATATATATGCACCCAATACAGGAGCACCCAGATTCATAAAGGAAGTCCTTATTGACCTACAAAGAGACTTAGACTCCCACACAATAATAATGGGAGACTTTAACACCCCACTGTCAACATTAGACAGATCAACGAAACAGAAAGTTAACAAGGATATCCAGGAATTGAACTCAGCTCTACACCAAGCGGACCTAATAGACATCTACAGAACTCTCCACCCCAAATCAACAGAATATACATTCTTTTCAGCACCACACCACACCCATTCCAAAATTGACCACATAGTTGGAAGTAAAGCACTCCTCAGCAAATGTAAAAGAACAGAAATGATAACAAACTGTCTCTCAGACCACAGGGCAATCAAACTAGAACTCAGGATTAAGAAACTCACTCAAAACCACTCAACTACATGGAAACTGAACAACCTGCTCCTGAATGACTACTGGGTACATAACGAAATGAAGGCAGAAATAAAGATGTTCTTTGAAACCAACGAGAACAAAGACACAACACACCAGAATCTCTGGGACACATTCAAAGCAGTGTGTAGAGGGAAATTTATAGCACTAAATGCCCACAAGAGAAAGCAGGAAAGATCTAAAATTGACACGCTAACATCACAATTAAAAGAACTAGAGAAGCAAGAGCAAACACATTCAAAACCTAGCAGAAGACACGAAATAACTAAGATCAGAGCAGAACTGAAGGAAATAGAGACACAAAAAACCCTTCAAAAAATCAATGAATCCAGGAGCTGGTTTTTTGAAAAGATCAACAAAATTGATAGACAGCTAGCAAGAATAATAAAGAAGAAAAGAGAGAAGAATCAAATAGATGAAATAAAAAATGACAAAGGGGATATCACCACCGATCCCACAGAAATACAAACTACCGTCAGAGAATAATATAAACACCTCTACTCAAATAAACTAGAAAATCTAGAAGAAATGGATAAAATCCTCGACACATACACCCTCCCAAGACTAAACCAGGAAGAAGTTGAATCTCTGAATAGACCAATAACAGGCTCTGAAATTGTGGCAATAATCAATAGCTTACCAACGAAAAAGAGTCCAGGACCAGATGGATTCACAGCCGAATTCTACCAGAGGTACAAGGATGAACTGGTACCATTCCTTCTGAAACTATTCCAATCAATAGAAAAAGAGGGAATCCTCCCTAACTCATTTTATGAGGCCAGCATCATCCTGATACCAAAGCCTGGCAGAGACACAACCAAAAAAGAGAATTTTAGACCAATATCCTTGATGAACATTGATGCAAAAATCCTCAATAAAATACTGGCAAACCGAATCCAGCAGCACATCAAAAAGCTTATCCACCATGATCAAGTGGGCTTCATCCCTGCGATGCAAGGCTGGTTCAACATATGAAAATCAATAAAGGTAATCCAGCATATAAACAGAACCAAAGACAAAAACCACATGATTATCTCAATAGATGCAGAAAAGGCCTTTGACAAAATTCAACAACCCTTCATGCTAAAAACTCTCAATAAATTAGGTATTGATGGGACATATCTCAAAAATAATAAGAGCTATTTATGACAAACCCACAGCCAATATCATACTGAATGGACAAAAACTGGAAGCATTCCCTTTGAAAACTGGCACAAGACAGGGATGCCCTCTCTCACCACTCCTATTCAACATAGTGTTGGAAGTTCTGGCCAGGGCAATCATGCAGGAGAAGGAAATAAAGGGCATTCAATTAGGAAAAGAGGAAGTCAAATTGTCCCTGTTTGCAGATGACCTGATTGTATATCTAGAAAACCCCATTGTCTCAGCCCAAAATCTCCTTAAGCTGATAAAGCAACTTCAGCAACATCTCAGGATACAAAATCAATGTGCAAAAATCACAAGCATTCTTATACACCAATAACAGACAAACAGAGGGCCAAATCGTGAGTGAACTCCCATTCACAATTGCTTCAAAGAGAATAAAATACCTAGGAATCCAACTTACAAGGGATGTGAAGGACCTCTTCAAGGAGAACTACAAACCACTGCTCAATGAAATAAAAGATGATACAAACAAATGGAAGAACATTCCATGCTCATGGGTAGGAAGAATCAATATTGTGAAAATGGCCATATTGCCCAAGGTAATTTATAGATTCAATGCCATCCCCATCAAACACAAAAAGTTTGAGCTTTTTTTTTTTACTCACAGTACTTAGAATTATTTTTCTTTGAGGCCAGAGCATCTTGTCTTATTACCATCTTTACGGTCAACCTCAGGCTCTCAGATATATTTCCACAGGCTCTTTAACTATTTGAAATAGGTATCTATGTGGATCTTTTGCCTAATTGTTTTTCAGTTTGTTTCTTCAACCTTGAAATTATTTCTACTTAAAAATGTAATGCACAAGAAAGAGAAAAATCGTTAGCAAATAACACTAAGAGGGATCTAAATAAAACTTTCTACTTTCTTCTACTAAATTTCCATTTTAACATATTTCAGTGCATTAAGTCATTATAAATTCTTAAATATATTATACTTTCAATATAAAAAATAATTAGACTGGCCTCTATTTATACTTAAATAATGGACTAAATATTCCAAAAAATCTCCTATTACCAAACATCAAGAAATATTCGGATAAAATATCAAATATTCCTTTGAATGCAGAGAAGAGCTCCTCAAGAGCTTGGATATATTTCTGGGGACCTGGAACTGAGAGAAAAAGTGAAGGTAAATTAGAGCTGTCCTATAGCATGTTGCCAGTCTTCACCATTGTGAATCCTGCTGCCTTAAAGAGCTACCTTCAGTGAAGGTGTCCTGGAAAAAAAAGATCTCAACTGCCAGTTTAAAAGAAAAACAGGTAGAGCGGGCACGGTGGCTCACGCCTTTAATCCCAGCATTTTGGGAGGCCAAGGTGGGCGGATCACTTGAGGTCAGGAGTTCGAGACCAGCCTGGCCAACATGGTGAAACCCTGTCTGTACTAAAATTATCAAAATTAGCTGGGTGTGGGGGTGCACACCTGTAATCCCAGCTACATGGGAGGATGAGGCAGGAGAATCTCTTCAACCAAGGAGGTAGAGTTTGCAGTAGGCTGAGATCACGCCACTGCACTCCAGCCTGGGTGACAGAGCGAGACCCTGTCTCAAAAAATAAATGAGCAAATAAATAAATAAATAAGTAAATACATACATACATACATACAAAAAGACATTTAACTGTCTGACCTCAAATCTGGATGGGTTATATGTCTTCTCCAGAAAAAATAATAGAAGTTGATCTTCTCACCATTAGGGATTCAAATGTACAGTATTGGAAAGATCCAGGAAGTCCAAAGTAAAGAGCTTAAGAGGGGTCACAGTTTAGTTATAGTTTAGAGTTCCTGTCAAAAAAAAAAAAAGCAAAAATAAATAAATAAATAAATAAAAATAAATAACAAAACAGCTTGGGCCTCATAGGATTTCCCCAATTCTAAAAATACAATTTGATTTTTAAAAACACATCATAAAACTAGCCACCATCAATGAGAATCTATAGGAGAAAAAAATGCTGAAAATAATTTTAGATAATTGAGTTACTAAATATCAAACATTAAATATGTGCTTAATATGTTATATCAGTCTATTCTCATACTGCTTTAAGGAAATACCTGAGACTGGGTAATTTATAAAGAAAAGAGATTTAATTGGCTCATGGTTCTGCAGGCTGCACAGGCAGCATAGTGGCATCAGCTTCTGGGGAGGCCTCAAGAAACTCACTTCACCGAAGGTGAAGGGGAAGCAGTTATGTCCTACATGGCTGAAACAGGAGAAAGAGAGAGAGAGGAAGATGGTACACACTTTTAAACCACCAGATTTCACAAGAACTCACTCACTCACATATCATGAGAACAGAACCTAGGGGATGGTGCTTAACCATTCATGAGAACTCTTCCCCCATGATCCAGTCACCTCCCACCAGGTCTTACCTCCAGCACTGGGGATTATGACCTTCAACAAGATATTTCAGCGGGGGTACAGCTCCAAATCATATCAATTTCTTAAAAAATTTAAGTTAAAACCCAAAACAAAAGAAAGTGTTTAACCTCATTAAAGTCATCGGAAAAGAGCCTAGAAAGACAAAGAGATGGAGAACAAGAGAAGCTAAAAAATAAGAGCAAAGAATCAGACTGAAAATACAACTGTTTCCAGAAGAGAACACAGAGAGAAGCAATGTCCAAAAAGAACTTCTGAGAACTTCTCAAATTCTCAAATTCAGAGATTCTGACATATTGTGAGATAAATAATAAGAAATACACACTTAGACACATATAAGTGGAACTGTAGAGCTTAGAGTCAAAAGAAAGATATTAGAAGCAACAGGAGAATAAAGACAGATCAAGAAAATACTAAGCAAAATATAGCCAAGGTGGCTATATGAATATCAGATCAAACAAACTTTATGAAAACAAACTTTATTAATAATAATTGGACTAACTACATTTTGACAAGAAGGTAAAACTAAGGAATAATATTTCTAAATTTCCAGGCACTTAATAATATAGCCTCAAAATGCATGAAGCAAAAAACTTGACAATATTTTAAGAAAATATTAATAAGCTTCATAATCAGAAATGTAATCTACTTTTTTCAGTAATTAATAGAATAAAAGATTAAAATTGACAAGATATAGAATATTTTAGCAGCACTACCAATAAACTTGAGTCAGTGGCATATAAAGAGGACACAGGAAAGCAAAGATGCGTCCCCTTTCTTTTGGCTAGTATTTACCTAGCACATCTTTTTCTGTCCTTTTGACTTTGCTGTGACTTTATATTTTAGGTATATCTTTACTAAATAGCACAAATCCATTATTTTTAAAAAGTACAGGCTTACAATCTCTTTTAATTGGCAAGTTTATATTTATTGTACATAATGGTTCTCCTAGACTTTTTAATTTTTTACTGTTTTCCTTGCTCCCATTTAGTCTGTTTTATTTTGTTTCTTTCTTTTATTCCTCCATTTTCTCCCTTTTTATTTTGCAGGATAGTGGTTGCAGAGCATCCTTTCTCTTTTGTGATCATCTTTCATTTATTTTCTCACACCGTTTGTAAAGTTACCACTGTATTTTTGTTCTTTCAGTTTAAACCCTGGACATTTTACCATGCTTACTAGTACACTATAATCAATACCCTAACCTTTTCCAGAACAATATAAATGATAACACTCTCATTCCATAACTCCTCTGACTTACTTTGGTATACAGTATTCATTCTCTCTCTCCCTCCCCACCCACCTCCCACTTAGTTCAATGATCTGTTGGGCTTTTCTTCTGAATTCTGAATGAAAGCTTTTCACAAATGGTTGATGAGCCTGGCTGCCAGTTCATATGTAAGAGTGATGCATGAGAAGCTATGTGTATGTGACCACGTTTTGCCACAAATGGACCTCCTCGCAGTATGAAAATTAAACAGTTAATACTTCACACATTATAGCATCTGCAGGTCTTTTCTGGGAGACCTTTGAGCTCTCAAAGGAAAACTATAACATAGGAGTTAAGAAGAAATTACTTAGGCAGATAGTGAAGGTACTGAAGTCCTCAGTAAGGTTTTCCTTTTTAATGAAAAGCAGCTCTCAAATCATTTTCTAACAAAGAGAAGCCTGTAAAATTAAGCTGCAGACATAGACAAGCAAGCTGGAAGCAGGCCAGCAGATAAATACTATCTAGGCATATTCAAAATGGTGGCTCCATCTTCTCTTCTTTTTTGTCAGCCACATGTACAGTAAGGAACAGACAAGATGTCACAGGTCAAGTGCAAAGCCCGTATGCATAATAAGATTAGGATGGGTGGCCAGCCTTTCCTGTGCACTATGTAAATGTCATACCTGATTGAACCAATCTGTGGTCCCTAAATAAAGCAGACACCGCCTCCTCAAGCCTGCCTATATAATCCAGTGGACTCTGCTATTAGCTGATCTTTCACTTTGGTAGCTCCTCTCTCATTAGAAAGAGAGAGAGAGCTGTTCTTCTTTCTCTTTCTTCTGACAATTAAACTTCTGCTCCTAAACTACTCATGTGTGTCCGTGTCCTAAATTTTCTTGACATGAGACGACAAACCCTGGGTATTTACCCCACACAACAAAGCTGCATCAACTATCTCAAGTGAAGTGAAGAAATAAGTAAGACTTTACTCAAGACTATTGTAATAGAAGGAAGAGATGGAACTAAACTCCTCTTGCTAGTGGCGAATCTATATGGGTATGGAGCAACCTCAATTCTTGCCTCATCAGAAAAAATAATTCAACCAAGAGACATAAGGCGAGGGACTGAGGCAAGTTTTGGATCAGCAGTGAAAGTTTATTAAAAAGTTTTAGAGCAGGACTGAAAGAAAGTAAAGTAATTGGGAAAAGGGCCAAGTAGGCAACTTGAGAGTTCAAATGCACAGTTTCACCTTTGATTTGGGGTTTTATACATTGGCATACTTCCAGGGGGGCTTCATCCCTTCTCCCCTGATTCCTCCCTTGGGGTGGGCTGTCCTCGTGTGCAGCAGCCTGCCGGCATTTGGGAGGGGACACATGCACAGTGTTTACTGAAGTTGTACACATGCTCACTTGAGGCATCTTTCCCTTACCAGTTGTGTGATCCTAGAGGAAGGTCATATACCAGTTAAACTCTACCATTTTGCCTCTTAGTGTGCATGCTTGAGCCCACTTGCTCAACTCCTAAGATCTTATCAGGAAGCTGCTTATCATCAGTTTCAGTTTTTTTCTATCTGTTGGGAGACCGCCTTTCCCTGGCACCAGCTGCAACCAATTATTTTAGAGAGACAATTCTAATAACCAGTCCATCATCACCTGATGGTTGCCTGACAATCCTTCCTGAGTAGTAGGTAGGGCCCCTCTCCTGACCTGCTCATGTCTGCCTGACTACCTACAGTAACACTCTGAAACAAAAGGTGGGAGAGTTCTTAAGCATTGAGGTGAGTTAGCGGAAAAGTACTGGAGGACACCGGGAGAAGGCTGGCCTATGTGACTGGGCCACCTCTTGTTGCTAACTGGCATCCTTGGAAGTTAGGCTCCCACATTCCCAAGGAGACTCGAATATAGGGGAACTATCTTTACCAATGACCATGTTTCAAGGAGATGGCTCCTAGGCCCTTAAGAAAGATATTCCTGGATTGTGGAAGATTTACAGTTCAAAAGGGCAGAGAAAGAATTTACGATTGAAAGTTTTTGAAAGTAAATGTGCGAAGAAATGGGAGATAAGGAGTATTGTTAGGAAGAGGACTGTTTAAAGCTTAGCCAGCTGATAGAAGCATTAAGGCCATCATCTTGGTCATAGCTTTAAAGAAGAATCTTCCAGTTGCCTAATTATCTGCTTTCTGAGCATAGACAGAGGAAGAAATGTGGGGCATCAAGATTTATAAAGAAAGTTTCCCACATTATCTCCGAGTGTCAGTCTTGCCCTTCATCACACCCTCCTCTGTAACTGCTGCTCTACAGTCAGGAAATTTCCGTTTAATTGCTCCAGTGAAGAGACTGGTTTTCCTGCAGAGGCTGGGAGTGAAACTGCCTTTGCAAAAACCGTTATCAGTGAGAAAATTTTGGCAGTGTGGGAGATCTGATCGAGTCAAACCCCTCTTGCCTTTAGCCTTGAAGCTGTCCTTCATTATTCCTAGGCAAAGCTAATTCTGGTAGACATTTAGTTTATATTTTAAATGATAATACCCCTTCCCCAAAACTCAACTGCCTTTGTAATGCTAATGAGAGGCCACCAGACAAGGAGGACAGAGGCCCCTGAATTCTGCTAAGGTGTATATATAAATGATTGCCAGCTTTTATTCTGGAGGTCACAGATATGCAACTTCTCCAGTTACTCCTGCAGATAACATCACTATTGTAGAATCTGAGATTGGACTTTTTGGATACCTTTTCAGGTTTTTTCTCCATGTCCAATACCTGTGGCCCCCCTGGACCCACCAATCCCTTCTGTGGCCCCACCCAGAAGTGACTCAGCTCAAGGGGACAGCTTCAGTTTATAATTTCATCTCCAACCCAACCAGTCAGCAGCAAACACTCATTGCCTTGACACCCTCCCCACTCCCCACAAACTACCTTTAAAATCCCCTAACCTTGACCAGCCATGGCGGCTCACACCTGTAATCCTGGCACTTTGGGAGGGCAAGGCAGGCAGATCATTTGAGGTCAGGAGTTCAAGGCTAGCCTGGCCAACATGGTGAAACCCTGTCTCTACTAAAAATATAAAAATTAGCTGGGTGTGGTGATGCACACCTGTAGTCCCAATTACTCAAGAGGCTGAGGCTGGAGAATCACTTGAACCCCGGTGGTGGAGATCACAGTGAGCTGAGATCGTACCACTGCACTCCAGCCTGAGTGATAGAGTGAGACTCTGTCACAATAATAATTGATTAATAAACCCCTAACCTATAAGCTTTCTATGAGATTAATTTGAGTGATAACTCCATCTCCCATGTGGCATATCTGGCCTCATGTTAATTCAATTCTTTACTTCAATGCCATGAATTGATTTTGTTTGTGCAGCAGGAAGAACACACTTGCTGGGTACAGGAGGAATCGTATTATGTTGGTATGGTGCTGGGAGTTACTCTTCTATCATTTATCCACATTTTTCTATCTCAAGCCTCATCCTGGCTTTCAGTGTTCCCTGAGACTCTCTAGTGCTCTAATGCATAGACTTAATTTTATTATCATCCCTTTCTGGGAGTATTTAGACTTTAGCCTCCTCTGCCAGTCTCATTACTACTCTACTTTCTGTCTTTCAGCTTTCCAAAACTGGTTGGTATTTCTTATCCACTACTGTCTCTTAGTACTTCTTGAATATAATATTTTTTCTGTCTTTAACTTTTCTCATTTATTCATTTTGTTTTAATTGTTCATGTGAGCATGAAGAGAAATGCATACAATCAACTTGCTATGATCAACTGTAAATCTAAGTACTGAAACGTCCAATGTGTCATTTAGGTATGGTAACTTCCAGCCTGTAACATGGCAAGAAGAGGCCAAAGACGGAAAGTTTTGCATTGCACGCAACAACTCTTACTTGCCTGAGAATATCCTAAGTGGATAAGCGGGCAGGGTGAAAACTAGAAGCAGGTTGTTCTTGCTGGTAATAGGGACTGTGAGGGGCCTAAGGACAAACTCTTCACTTTGCCTTTTAGAAAACACTACTCCAAGTAATATTTCTTCATGATGATATATAAACCATAAAAAGAGATAAAACTGGGCCTATAAAATATATTAAATGGGAAAGAACCAAGAGTTTCAATATTTTCTTTTTTTAATTTTATTATTATTATACTTTAAGTTTTAGGGCACATGTGCACAATGTGCAGGTTAGTTACATATGTATACACATGCCATGCTGGTGTGTTGCACCCATTAACTCGTCATTTAGCATTAGGTGTATCTCCTAAAGCTATCCCTCCCCGCTCCCCACAACAGTCCCCAGAGTGTGATGTTCCCCTTCCTGTGTCCATGTGTTCTCATTGTTCAATTCCCACCTATGAGTGAGAACATGCAGTGTTTGGTTTTTTGTTCTTGTGCTAGTTTACTGAGAATGATGATTTCCAATTTCATCCATGTCCCTACAAAGGACATGAACTCATCCTTTTTTATGGCTGCATAGTATTCCATGGTGTATATGTGCCACATTTTCTTAATCCAGTCTATAGTTGTTGGACATTTAGGTTGGTTCCAAGTCTTTGCTATTGTGAATAGTGCCGCAATAAACATATGTGTGCATGTGTCTTTATAGCAGCATGGTTTATAATCCTTTGGGTATATACCCAGTAATGGGATGGCTGGGTCAAATGGTATTTCTAGTTCTAGATCCCTGAGGAATTGCTACACTGACTTCCACAATGGTTGAACTAATTTACAGTCCCACCAACAGTGTAAAAGTGTTCCTATTTCTCCACATCCTCTCCAGCACCTGTTGTTTCCTGACTTTTTAATGATTGCCATTCTAACTGGTGTGAGATGGTATCTCATTGTGGTTTTGATTTGCATTTCTCTGATGGCCAGTGATGGTGAGCATTTTTTCATGTGTTTTTTGGCTGCATAAATGTCTTCTTTTGAGAAGTGTCTGTTCATGTCCTTCGCCCACTTTTTGATGGGGTTGTTTTTTTCTTGTAAATTTGTTTGAGTTCATTGTAGATTCTGGATATTAGCCCTTTGTCAGATGAGTAGGTTGTGAAAATTTTCTCCCATTTTGTAGGTTGCCTGTTCACTCTGATGTAGTTTCTTTTGCTGTGCAGAAGCTCATTAGTTTAATTATATCCCATTTGTCAATTTTGGCTTTTGTTGCCATTGCTTTTGGTGTTTTAGACATCAAGTCCTTGCCCATACCTGTGTCTTGAATGGTAATGCCTAGGTTTTCTTCTAGGGTTTTTATGGTTTTAGGTCTAATGTTTATGTCTTTAATCCATCTTGAATTAATTTTTGTATAAGGTGTAAGGAAGGGATCCAGTTTCAGCTTTCTACATATGGCTAGCCAGTAAAAAGTGATAAAGGGGATATCACCACTGATCCCACAGAAATACAAACTACCGTCAGAGAATACTACAAACACCTCTATGCAAACAAACTAGAAAATCTAGAAGAAATGGATAAATTCCTCGATACATACACCCTCCCAAGACTAAAGCAGGAAGAAGTTGAATCTCTGAATAGACCAATAACAGGCTCTGAAATTGTGGCAATAATCAATAGCTTACCAACGAAAAAGAGTCCAGGGCCAGATGGATTCACAGCTGAATTCTACCAGAGGTACAAGGATGAACTGGTACCATTCCTTCTGAAACTATTCCAATCAATAGAAAAAGAGGGAATCCTCCCTAACTCATTTTATGAGGCCAGCATCATCCTGATACCAAAGCCTGGCAGAGACACAACCAAAAAAGAGAATTTTAGACCAATATCCTTGATGAACATTGATGCAAAAATCCTCAATAAAATACGGGCAAACCGAATCCAGCAGCACATCAAAAAGCTTATCCACCATGATCAAGTGGGCTTCATCCCTGCGATGCAAGGCTGGTTCAATCTATGCAAATCAATAAAGGTAATCCAGCATATAAACAGAACCAAAGACAAAAACCACATGATTATCTCAATAGATGCAGAAAAGGCCTTTGACAAAATTCAACAACGCTTCATGCTAAAAACTCTCAATAAATTAGGTATTGATGGGATGTATCTCAAAATAATAAGAGCTATCTATGACAAACCCACAGCCAATATCATACTGAATGGACAAAAACTGGAAGCATTCCCTTTGAAAACTGGCACAAGACAGGGATGCCTTCTCTCACCACTCCCATTCAACATAGTGTTGGAAGTTCTGGCCAGGGCAGTCACGCAGGAGAAGGAAATAAAGGGTATTCAATTAGGAAAAGAGGAAGTCAAATTGTCCCTGTTTGCAGATGACCTGATTGTATATCTAGAAAACCCCATTGTCTCAGCCCAAAATCTCCTTAAGCTGATAAGCAACTTCAGCAACGTCTCAGGATACAAAATCAATGTGCAAAAATCACAAGCATTCTTATACACCAATAACAGACAAACAGAGAGCCAAATCGTGAGTGAACTCACATTCACAATTGCTTCAAAGAGAATAAAATACCAGGAATCCAACTTACAAGGGATGTGAAGGACCTCTTCAAGGAGAACTACAAACCACTGCTCAAAGAAATAAAAAAGGATACAAACAAATGGAAGAACATTCCATGCTCATGGGTAGGAAGAATCAATATCGTGAAAATGGCCATACTCCCCAAGGTAATTTATAGATTCAATGCCATCCCCATTACGCTACCAATGACTTTCTTCACAGAATTGGAAAAAACTACTTTAAACTTCATATGGAAGCAAAAAAGAGCCCGCATCGCCAAGTCAATCCTAAGCCAACAGAACAAAGCTGGAGGCATCACGCTACCTGACTTCAAACTGTACTACAAGGCTACAGTAACCAAAACAGCATGGTACTGGTACCAAAACAGAGATATAGACCAATGGAACAGAACAGAGCCCTCAGAAATAACGCTGCATATCTACAACTATCTGATCTTTGACAAACCTGAGAAAAACAAGCAATGGGGAAAGGATTCCCTTTTTAATAAATGAATATTTTCAACAAAACACTTGAAGATGTCTCAAATGGCAAATAAAAACCCTAAAATATTAAAAAGAACAAAAACTCTAGGAGAAAAGACAACTGAGATTTAACTTAAGAATCTGATTTCCAAGGGCACCCAAAACAATAGAGATAGAAGCAAAGTATTTAAAAGAAATGTCATGAAGTGATGAAGATAATTATTTTTATAAATCAAATGCATTTACTGAGTTCCAGGCAAAGTTAGCATAAGGTATATTCTAGCACAACTTTTGAATTGCAAATGTAAATTTACAATATTCTAAGGCTTCTAGACAGAGAGGAAATAAATGAATTGTTACCTAAAAATAATTAAAGATTAGGCTGGTTTCAAGATTCAGACCTACAATCTAGGTTCAATTATGTTAAAATGGGAAAACAGGATACAGAAATGATTATATGATTCCAAACAGGTAAGATAAAAATGTAGAAAAATAAGTACATTGAGGGAAATTATGCCAAAGTATTCACAGTTTTCTCTGAGTGGTAGGAATTTTATTAATTTACATTCTAATCGTTTATGTTTTTTTCTTCTACTTTTCAAGTGTTCTGGAACAGTCATGCATTATTTTAATAATTGGCAAAAATACAGGTAAAAAGTAAAAGAAAAAACAAGAGAGAGAGAAAATCATTTCTCACAGTAGGATACTTCCAGGCTAAGATATATCAAATTAAAATCATAAAATTCTGAAGCATTTCCTGAGTTCATTTATTCTTAAGCTCTGCCTATCCCTTAAAGACTTCAGTAAGCCTGTGACATTTCACTCTGGCATTAGGTGAATTTCAAAATCTTATGATAAGCTATCTAGTCCTACAACTTGAAAAAATTCTTTGGAGCATTTTGGAGTCATCGAAGCAAACTTTTTACAGAAAACACTATTTTTCTTGAAAATCCAAACTTGAAATTTCTGAAGATGCAGTAATTTTTCAAGACAAAACACCCTCTTGGGTACAAATCATGCAACTTGCCCTGGATCCAATATGTGCAGTTTCTGCTGGAGTTCAAGTAGTGATAAAGAAACATTTTCAGCACTGGTGGGTTTATCTTTGTTTGAAGGCTAGTGTAAAAAGCATACACTTTATTTCATATATTATACAATGAAATTATAGATATAATGAGAGCTATAATCTTCAAAGGTAGAGGTTGCAGAATTAGAGCTAAATGACCAAATATAGCTCATGCTTATTCTTTGATTGGCTTGAATAATTAAAAATAAATAAATTCGTGGCCAAAATTTGAAACTCAAAAGACTGTACCTTAAAAATTCTAGACTTAGAGGCTTCTGTTGAAAAACCAGAGGATCTGTAAAAGCCAGAAGGTCTGAGCAGTTACCTGCTAGAAGTTAGTTTTCTTATTCTTTAATGTTTTTCGGGCTTCCAAAAAACCAAAAACCACTCATTTAGGTTGAATTAGTAAACTCTGTTCTAAAAAATAATGTTAATTCTAATTGACAGCTATTACTATTATGTTAAAAATGGTTACTTGTGGCCGGGTGCAGTGGCTCACGCCTGTAATCCCAGTACTTTGGGAGGCCGAGGCGGGCAGATCACGAGGTCAGGAGATCGAGACCACCCTGGCTAACATGGTGAAACCTTGTCTCTACTAAAAATACGAAAAATTTATCCGGGCGTGGTGGCAGGCGCCTGTAATCCCAGCTACTCTGGAGGCTGAGGCAGGAGAATGGCGTGAACCCGGCAGGCGGAGCTTGCAGTGAGCCAGAGATTGCGCCACTGCACTCCAGCCTGTGAGACACAGCGAGACTCCATCTCAAAAAAAAAAAAAAAAAAGAAAAGGTTACTTGTGGAAGCTACCTGTTGTGGTATTTCTATGAAGAATTGCTGGCTTTTGAGTTAGACATTCTGAATTCTGTGTCAGGATGACTCTGGGGGCTTCAACACAGTTAAATAAATTTTTCCTAAAAGCAAGAAGGCCTAAAGTGGAGTATCCCCAAAATTCATCAATTCAGCAACTTAATGATGCTCTCATAGGCATAAATAATTAATATCTTCGGCTCTGCCATTCTCAGAGAATTGGTCTTATTCTCAAGCTGGTTCTCCTCCAGGATACAAAATGGCTTCCACAGCAGTTATCACATGCAGAGACTACTATTTATAAACAGAAAAGAAGAGTACTCTTCTTCCTTGAGTTTCCCTGTATAAGAGTAAGGAAAGTTGTCTGAATCCCTCCCTAGCAGATCTTTCTTAGTATCGCATAGACCATATTTCAGCCATATGTCCAGTACTAAAACAAACGAGCAGGAGGGCTGACTGCTTGTGATAGACGTAGATAATTCAAATTACCCATCAGCTGAATATAGGATTGCTTTCCCTTAGCACATAGTAAATAGCACCGGGGACAAGAGGCAAAAAGAGTACATCTGCAGTCTACTCCCAGAAAGAAATGATGTGTAGTGGGGAACTGATTTTAGATAGATAACAGTTTCTGCTACAAACTAAAGACAGGTCTCTAGCTTTGTAATGACCTTTGGCATATACTTAAACTTTCCTAATTTAAAGTTCTTAATTTATATATTAGAAATGGTAATACATTTTTCATAGCATTATCACAAATATTAAATGGTCGAAAATATATCAAAACTTAGGTATTTCAGATATTTTTGCTTTATAAAAAATGCCAGATTATGTTTCTGAAAATAAAGAAAATGGAAAAATAAAGTCCAAAAATTTTGGAAGTTTAAAATAAAATGAAAATTTAAAAATAATTGAATTAAAAAATTATTTGTGCAAAGTTGTCTCTTAGGTGAAAGTTTACCTTATGATTTACCTTACCTAACTCAGTTTTCTCAGTGGATGAAAATGTCATTTAAAATTGGAAAGTTTATTGTCTGTTTATTATATTTCATTCTATTATTGTTTCTTCAGTGATAAGAAAAGGAGAAAAGTAGTCACAGTTAATACCTTACTGGCACAGCTGAAGCTTGGCGCAATTCACTGTATAATCCCTCTGAACGCCCCCCCACCCCCAGTACTGGATAAATGGGAATACTTGACTGTTTGATGTTCTACCAGAGAGGATACTTTGTGGCAAGGTACAATATAAAGCAGGTGCTACAACATGCTCTACTGGGCAGAATGACAAGTGATGGCTTCCCTAGAGTCATAGCAAAAGACGGATTTAGTGAATCATGCTGTATGATGGAGAATCCACACACCAGAGCTGCAGATTAAACTCTGCCTGTTGAAGTGAGAACATTTGCATTTGTGCTCTCAAGAGAGTTTTTGTCAAGTGGCAGGAGTGAGTGAAACTCTGAAGTCTGCCTGTAATACAGTCAACCACCTCATAGTCCCTGTCAAGAGTACTATAAAATCAAATGAAGACCTTGGAAAAGCAACAGACTTAAGAATAAAAATCCCTCTGGCTTCTAGGACATTACTACTTTTCCCTAGAGAAAAAAATGTAGAAACCCTGCATGGTGATTCAAAGATTAACTGGGCATTCCAGAAGGTTTCAAATGTTCTTTGCATTTACATGTTTGCAAAATTATGCTTCTTGGAGATACCTACCAAAGGACATCACTTGCTGACACTTTTGGTCTCCTGTGGCCTCAGTGATGAGAGAATACTCATGTCAGGCCTTGAAAACAGAATAACATCAACACCAATGGCTTTAGCTTCTACTTAGTCAGGTGTGCTTCCGCAGATTCGGGATTGTGGGGAGGAAGAACAAGAAGTTGTTGGTTTGGTGAGAAGACTGATTTTATTTCTAGTTTTCTATGTAAATGTCACAGAAACATAAGAAAAGTCTTCCAATTTTTATACCTTAATTCCTTCAACTGCAAAAATGAGAATAATAAACCTGCAATCCCCATATAATTCCTACTCCAAATAACTTTTATAAACTTTAAATCTTTGCATGACAATAACTTTAAAAAAAAATTACCACAGGCCCATATAATTTTACAAATGAGTTCTACTAAGTCTTCAAAAATCAAAGATCCACAACATAGAAAAAAAAATATGGACTAATATACTATTGTTAATAAATAAGATAGGAAAAATTTAAGCCAGTAAAACCATTGGCTGATTTTATTTATGAATTCAAAAGTCTTAAATGATATATTTTCAATATAATTTCAGAATATATAATACATTCATCAAGACTAAGAAGAATTTATTCCAAACATCCAAATATATTTTATTATTTTGAAACAAATATTAAGGTAATTCACCACATTAACAGATGAAAGAATAATGCAATACTACCATTCCAGTATTTACAGAAGGAAAAAAAAAAGATTGATAAATTTTAAAACCATTCATAACAATAAAAATGAATTCTAAGTAAACTAAGAATAAGAGAGCTTCAAATAAGTTCACAAAAAGATATTGACCCAAACCTACAGCAACTATGCTACTAAATAGTGAACACTGAAAGTGTTCATTTAAGAACAGAAAAAAGGATATCTGTCATGTCTATGTCTAAACAGTGAGCTATAATACCTAATTAACTGAATAAGTTAATAAAAACCAAGATTAAGAATACAATAAGATCACAAAACAAAGGTAGAAAAAATCCTGGCATTTTCAGAATGATATGCTTGTCTGCATGAATTATCCTGGAAATTCACAGATATGTTATTAGAATTACTTAGAGAGTTCAAAAGATGAATATATAAAAATCATCTTCATTTTCATGTATTGTCAGAACTAATTAGATAATTTTTAAGAAGGTACTACCTACACAAACAGTATAACTTATAATGTACCTAAGAATAATTTTAAAAAATTATAAAGCTTTATTGGAGAAGGTAAAAGATGTACAGAAAAGAAGACCTATGGTCCTGAGTAGACAATGCAATATCACAAAGTTTTTGATTTGTTCCTTAAACTACAAAATTAACCCAAAACTGAATCCAAAATAGGCTTTTAATGGAAATATTTTAAAAGTTTAATACTACCATATGAATGTATGGTCAAGACATACATTCATAATAGTATGATAATATAATATATTACTGTTATTCTTATTCTTTAGGGAAGGGATGGAGCTGAAACATTTGACAGTAAATTGTAGAAATCATGACCCTCCATCCCTAAAACCTTCTCTCATAACCACACCTCAAATTTTTAAAATGTAACATAGCTATATCACTGTCATGTAATATAGTTTATATTCCTATTTCACTAATTATCTTCCGAGTGTCCTTTATAGCAATGTTGCCCTCTGAACCAGGATCCAATGCAGAAGTTTACATTTAGTCATATTGTATGTTTTCTCTCCTTTGATATGTAGCATTTCCTCCCTTTTCTTTGTGTTTTATGACCTTGGTGTATTAAAAGAGTACAGACACAATGTTTTGTAGTATTTCTCTCAATTTGGGTTTTTCCTGTTGTTTCTTTATAATTATGCTTTTGAGTTTTTGGCAGAAATATTACGTATGTGATATAGTATCTTTCCCAGAGTATGATATCAGGAGGCACTTAACGGCAGTTTGTTCCATGCATGGTTATATTAATCTTGATCACTTAGTTAAGGCTGTTTCTTCTAAATTTTATTGCTATAAAAGTACCTTTTAATCATTTCATAATTAGTGAGTAATCTATGGGAAAATAATTTGAACTTATGTAAATCTCTTATTTGCCAACCAACTTTAACCCCTAGGTTTTATATCCATCAATATTTATCCATGTCAATTTTTAATATGATTTTTGCAAAATCATGGTTTTATAACTATCATTTCTTCTAACTTTATTATACTTTTGTCATTTGTTTTTTGGTATTAGTGTAGATTATTTTCTCAATATATTATAATGCATTGTAGCCATTCTCTTTTTTTACAGTTGCAAAATTAGATTTTTAGATACTTAGATTTATTTTTTCTTATTTTTTTTTAATAGAGCAGTCTTGGAGTCACAGCAAAACAGAGTGGAAAGTACAGAGATTTCCTGTAAACTTCCTGCCTCCATGTATTCATAGCCTTCCCATTATCAACATCCCTCCACCACCAAATACATTTGTTAGAATTGAAGAACCCGCACTGATATATCATTATCACCCAGAGTCCGTAGTTTTACATTATGGTTCACTCTTGGTGTTGTATGTTATATGGATTTCAAAAAATTTGTAATGACATGTATCTACCATTACAGTGTCATAAAGAGTAATTTCACTGCCCTTAAAATCACTGCTCAGAAGTAGAGAAAACTATTTTAAAATTCATATGGAACAAAAAAAAGAGCCCAAATAGCCAAGACAATCCTAAGCAAAAAGAACAAAGTTGGAGGCATCACACTCCCTGACTTCAAACTATACTACAAGGCTACAATAACCAAAACTGCATGGTACTGGTACAAGAACAGACACAGAGACCAATGGAACAGAATAGAGTACTTAGAAACAAGACCACACATACAATCATCTGATCTTTGACAAACCTGACAAAAACAAGCAATGGGGAAAGGATTCTCTATTTAATAGGTGCTAGGAGAACTGACTAGCCATATGCAGAAAATTGAAACTGGATCCCTTCCCTGCACCATCTAAAAAAATTAACTCAGGATGGATTAAAGACTTAAATGTAATACCCAAAACTATGAAAAATATAGAAGAAAATCTAAATGATACCATGACAAAAACACCAAAAGCAATTACAACAAAAGCAAAAATTGACAAATGGGATCTAATTAAACTGAAGAGCAGCACAAAAAAAGAAACTATCATCAGAGTGAACAAGACAACCTGCAGAATGGGAGAAAATTTTTTCAAACTATCCATCTGACAAAGTCTAATATCCAGAGTCTACAGGTAGGAACTTAAACAAATTTACAAGAACAAAACTAACAACTCCATTAAAAAGTAGACAAAGGACATGAACCGACACTTCTTCAAAGAATACATACATGCTGTCAACAAACATATGAAAAAAAGCTCAACATCACTGATCACTAGAGAAATGCAAATCAAAACCACAGTGAGATACCATCTCATGCCAGTCAGAATGGCTACTATTAAAAAGTAAAAATACAACAGATGCTGGCAAGTTGCAGAGAAAAAAGAATTCTTCACACTGTTGATGGGAGTGTAAATTAGCTCAACCATTATGGAAGACCGTGGTGATTCCTCAAAGGCAGGAATACCATTTGACCCAGCAATCCCATTATTGGGTATATACCCAAAGGAATATAAATAATTCTATTATAAAGATACATGCATGCCTATGTTCATTGGAGCACTATTTACAATAGCAAAGACAGAGAATAAACCAAATGTCCAACAATAATTAACTGGATAAAGAAAATGTGGTACATATACACCATGAAATACTATGCAGCCATAAAAAGGAACAAGATCATGTCCTTTGCAAGGACATGGATGGAGCTGGAAGCCATCATTCTCAGCAAACTAACACAAGAACAGAAAACCAGATACCACATGTTCTCACTTATAAGTGGGAGCTGAACAATGAGAAGACATGGACACATTGAGGGGAACAACACAGACTGGGGCCTGTTGGGAGGCTTGAAGGAGGGAGAGCATCAGGAGGAATAGCTAATGGATGCTCGGCTTAATACCTAGGTGATGGGATTATCTGTGCAACAAACCACCATGGTACACATTTACCTATGTAACAAACCTACACATCCTGCACATGTATCACTGAACTGTTGAAGAAAACAAACAAAAATATTCTGTGCTCTGTTTATCTCACCCTCCCTCCTAAATGCTGGCAACCACTGATATTTTTAGTATCGCCTTTTCCAGAATGTCATATAGTTGACATCATAGGGTTTGTCACCTTTTCAGATTGGCCTTTTTCACTTAGTTATACGCATTTAAATTTCCTCCAGTACCTTTCATGGCTTGATTGCAAATATTTTCTTCTGGTATATGACTTGTTTTGCATTTTTCCTGACAGTGTCACAGAGGAGAAATTTATAATTTTAATGAAGATCAGTTTATTATTTTTTTCATGATCATACCTTTGTTGTCATATCTAAAAAGTCATTACCAAATTAAGGTCATCTAGATTTTCTATGTTATCTTCCAGGACTTCTACAGTTTGCATTTTACATTTAGGTCCATGATCCATTTTGAGTTAATTTTTGGGAAAGGTGTAAGACCTGTGTCTAGATTAATTTTTTTGCATGTGTATGTATAGTTATTCTAGCAGCATTAGTTGAAAAATATATTTTAACTCTGTTGTAATTGCCTTTATTACTTTGTCAGTGATTGGTTGACTTTAATTATGTGGCTCTATTTCTGGAATATCCATCATGCTCCATTGATCCATTTGTCTATTCTTTTGCCAATACCACACTGTCTTGATAACTATGACTTTAATAGTAAGTCTTGAAATCAATACAGCCAGACATTCAACTTTGTTCTTCCTTTATATTGTGTTGGCTATTTTGGGTCTTTTACCCACCTTATAAACTTTATAATCAGTCTGTTGATATGTACAAAGTAACTTTCTGGGATTTTCTCGGAATTGCATTGAATTCGTAGACCAAGTTGGAAAGAACTGACATCTTAACAACATGAAATCTTTCCATCTATGAACAGGAAATATTTCTCAATTTATTAGTTATTTGATTTAGTCGCAGTTTTGTAGTTTTCCTCAAATAGTTATTATACATAATTTGATATATTTATACCTAAGTATTTCATTTTGGGGGCTGATAAGTATAAATGGCATTGTGTTCTTATATTTCAAATTCCACTTGTTTATTGCTAGTAAATAGGAAAGTGTTTGACTTTTGTATGTTAACCTTGTATCCTGTAATCTATAATCTTCCTATAATCATTTATTAGTTCCAGGAGTTTTTTGTCAATTCTTTCAGATTTTATACATAGACAGTCATGCTATCTGTGAACAAGCAGTATTACTTCTTTTCCAATTAGTACATCTGTTATTTCCTTTTTCTTATTGCATTAGAATTCCAGTATGATGTTCAAAAGCAGTAATGAGAGGAGGTAACCTTCTCTTTTTCCTATTAGTGAGAAAGTTTTGAGTTTGTCACCATTAAGTATAATGTCAGCTGTACGATATTTGTAGATACTCTTGATCTAGTTGAGAATATTCCCCTCTATTCTTAGTTTCTGTTTTCATTACGAATAGGTGTTCAATTTTTTTTTTTCAAATTTTTTTCTGTATGCATTTATATGATTGTGTGTTTTTTCTTTAGCTTGTTGGTATTGTGGATTACATTAATTGATTTTTTGAATTTGAGCTAGCCTTGAATGCATACTTGGGACAAATTCCACTTAGCTGTTGTGTATAATTCTTTTTCTACATTGTTGGATTCAATTTGCTAATATTTTGTTGAGGATTTCTGCATCTATGTTCATGAGAAATATTGGCCTGTAAGTTTTATTTTGCTGTAATGACTTCGTCTGCTTTTATCTTAGGGTAATGCTGGTCTCATAGAATAAGTTAGGAAGTATTATGCCTGCTTCTCTCTTCTGAAAGAGATTGTAGAGTACTGGTATACTTTTTTTCTCACTTTTTGCTGGAATTAACCAGTGAACCCATTGGGCATGTTTCTTTCTGTTTTGAAAGGGCATTTATTATTGATTCAAGTTTTTTAATAGATATAGGCCTGTATAGAGTGTCTATTTCTTCTTGTGTGAATTTTGGCATATTGTTTCTTTCAGGGAATTGGTTCATTTCATCTAAATTATGAAATTTGTGGGCATAGAGATGTTTATAGTGTTCCTTTATTATCCTTTCAATGTACATGTGATCATGTAAGTTATGTCTTCTCTTTCATTTCTGATATAGTCATTTGTGTCATCTCTCTTTTCTATGTTAGCTAGCTTAGCTGGAGGCTAATCAATTTTGTTAATCTTTTCAAAGAAGTTTTTTGTTTCATAGTTATTCATTTTTGATGCTTAAAGTTTTACAGATTTGGTTAATGGAAGTCTCATTAAACTGGCTCCTGTGCTCTTTTTTCTTTTTCTTTCTTGAGTAATTTCTGGAAAAATAAGACATTCCTGGCCCATTTCAAACTTTCCCTGAACCATTCCTAGAATCAGTCACTTTTCCTAGGCACTTTGGTTACTTTGAATAAGGAATTTTATTTGGAAACCAAGATCTAGGAGATAGATGTTCTCATTATTTTAGGGTGTTATTGCTTCTAGGCTTGAAAACGCCTTCTATATCTAAGGTTAAAAAAACTGATATCAATTTTTAAATTATTTTTTAAAACAGCAAATTAAAATTAAAAACTAGCACCACACACTTATCAAGGAGATAAATAAAATGGAAATTTTTTATATGATGGTGCAAGGGTAAGCCACTGTGAAATCAAATATAATTTTTTTAGGTAGTCACCCTAAAGATGTTCTTCCGTAAGTGCAAAAAGAAGCATCTAGAAATGTTCACATTGCATGATTGATTTTAGCCCAAATATGGAGTGTGATAAACTCTGGCTTAGTCATCATAGTCATAAAATGAAACCCTTTTTAGCAGTTAAAATTTGTGAAGTGGAAATCCACTTTTAATACATAATTCATACATAAAATGTTGAAAAGAAAAAGTTATAAAAAAAGACACCTACAATAGGATATTATGATTTATCTAAAACATACAGCAGTGCTATTTATGGTTCATATGTATATTTGTATGTATTTCCTTTGTAAAAACATGAATTAAACTAATAAGGGCAAACTCCAGGTTAATGGTTGCTCTGAGAGGAAAAAAAAAAAAAGATTGGGTGGGGCTTCAGTATCTCTGAAGTTTTATTTTGTAAAATTAAAAACCAAAATATACATTTTATAGATTTTTAAAATATTTCATAATTTATACAAGTTTAAGTAATTACATACATTATATGGGATTTTTGTCTAGCAGTGTAGACATTTAGCAGAGCTATTTACATATATTATATGGGATTTTTGTCTAGCAGCACAGACATTTAGCAGAACTCTTGAGAAAAACATAGATTGGATAATCAGAGAAGTGGAAATTCAGAAACTGAGCACTGTTCCTCCTGACTGTTTTGACCTAAGTATGTCCTTTTTGCAGGACAATGTAAACTCCTTCACCTCTCCCCCACGTCCCCCACTGCCACCCCCCTATTTTGCAGTGAGGTAGAAAAATTTGGAAGTAGAGTCTGTCTGTGAGAAGGAATTAAATCTGTAATGTGTTTTAAAATCATTTTAAGGTACAATGGAAATAATTTCACATTACCATGAAATGTATATGTAGTATTAAATCCTGAGCTAGGAAAAATCTAGAAAATATAATATTGTAAGGAGGAGGATCATTTCAACTAAATCTCCTGTTAGAAGATATTACAGGCAGCAGAACGAAGAACCAATTGTCTGAGGGAAAATTAATATTTCAGAAAATGAATCAAATGTGGCAGATCTAAAGTAGAGGCTATGAAACTACTATTGTTAGAAAAAACACAGAAGGCGGAAGAAAGTACCCTGTGAAAAATAGGCCAGTTACTTTCATAGGCCATCATTATGAAATAAGAAAAAGGCAAAAGAATATTTCTCTTCCAGACAAAAAAAAATAATGACAAAGAAAATGGTGATTTCTCTTAGTGTGTGGGTGGACTGGCACAGTAAAAAGCCAGCAAAATTAAGAATGGTGCAGGGCTTGGAGGGGCAAGTGTATAAAATAATATAAAGAACAATAATTAAACCACAGATTAGCCATAGATTCTAACCCCATTTCTAATTATTTATTTGCCTTTAGTAAGACACTTGACTTCTCTGAGTCCCAGCTTTCTCATCTGTAAATAAGGAAGATGCACTCAATTATCTCTTGAGTATGTTCCTACCTAAGTATTTTGTGATCCTATTAAATACAAATCATTTACTCAATAGATACCATAGCTATCAAGTGCCTGCAAGGTGCAAGGTATTTTTCTAGGTGCTTTATATATACTATCCCATATCATTCTCAGGAGTAAACTGTTACAAACTTCTCATAGAAGGCTCAAAAGCTTATCAATGTTTTCTAACTTGTTCAAGGCCACTGAGCTAATTGGTGGTAGAGCTGGTATTTGAGGCTGGGTCTCAATTCCAATGTCCATGCTCTTTCATTATTCCATCTATGCTAAAGATATTGACTAAATGAAATATTTGAGAGTATGCAAATGAGATGGTGGCTAGCATAGACCAAGAATGCAAAAAGTGTTCTACTGAAATATTTTTCCATTTCCAGAATCATTTGGAAAGACAATATTTATTTTAAAAATGCAAAAAGCCCTGTGAGAACTTGGTTCTTATTTATTATAAGATTTAGTGTGAATTTACAATCTTATTTATCATAAGATTATAAGATTTAGTGTGAATTATATTAATCAGAGCTACAGTTAACTGAGTTATCACCATTTCTTTGAAATTTTGATTAGTTAGAGGAGGAAGAAAATAAAACATAAGGGGAAGTATGTAAACTTATATAGAATGGAAGAATTCAAATAACCTAAAAGCAGCAAAAAAGCACTTGAAAGCTTATGAGACAGGAGAGAAGAAACTTTAGGTGAAAGAAGTGCTCAAATAGGAGGAATAACAACCAAAAAATTGTACTTCTTTGAATTCTTAAAATTCCAGTATAAGCTAATGCCCACAAACACCGAATTAACACATTAAGGTCCTTTAGACAGTTGCAAAACAATTTTCCCCAGTTCAGCTTATTATTCTCTTTCTTGCACTTATCCATTCTTTAATTAAATAAATACTTCAAATATTTTCAGACTAATCTTATCTCCGTGACTAATTCTCATTTTTGTATTGAGTGAGGCTGAGGAATTGGAGGATTGGGAAAGAGAAGAGAAAAAGAAAAAGATGACGAAAGAGCAGACACATTAAATAAGATGAAATAAACAGCTACTAACTCACTCCCTTCCTTTCCTTTAGAATATTGATCCAATGAGATTTGCCGAATTTATCAACGTGTAGGATTTTAGAATCAACCCTCCTCATCAGCCACCCAATGTCTGCTGTAACCTCTTTGGCAATATTTAGTAAATAATGACAAAGAAAGAAATGGCCTTATTCATTTGTTCTTGCTTCTTTTACTTACTAGTTAACTTACTTTTTTACTTTCCTATTTTTCTTTTTCTTGAAATAAAGGACAAATGATTCAGGTTAAATTATAGAAACGATAAACAGAATCAATAATATTGTTCCTTAAATTTCAGTTCCTATGAAATACTTACCTTACAAGCGTACACAGAAAAATGGGTCTCTATTTTTTAAAAACAAATTTACAATGACTTCAGGATTTTCTTTTATTCAAGCAGAAAAGAACTTGGTCTCATCTATCTTAATATTTTAAGTGTAAAGTGATTTGGGTCTAAGTGTATAAAAAAGCATTTATTCAAAGCCTGATTTAGAACACACTCAGAAAGACTCTAATAGCTACGTTTAAATTATCAGAGGCCTTGGTGAGTCCGTTGTTTTCTGTTTCTGGATCATTTACATTTGTCTATTTGTTGGATGGTTTTCATACTGGGTTCAAGTCCTAATATCACACTTCTAAATTACATCTCAATCCATGCTTCATATAAATGGCCTGGTGGAAAGATGCAATAAAAGAGCACTTTGTAATACTGAGTCCACTCATGCCATTATAGAAAGCACAATGTCAGCACTTTCATTTCCATTATACACTCTATTTGTTCAGAAATTATATAGAGAGCCATAAAAATTTGCTTGGTTGCAAGGTATTAGCTCATCCTACGAATAAACAATTAGATAAAAAACCATAACGTGGCTAAGACAATTGATTAAGAGTAAAATTTGGTCCAACTGTGTATGTGACATGGGTTCATTGCCACTTCGCAGGGATTCTTTCTGCCATAACAAGAAAGAAGCTATTAGACAAGCATTCCCAGGTGAGGAGAAAAATACCTAGGTATAGACACAGATGTCTGAGGCTATTTGTTTGTTTCTTTGTCTTAGTTGGAAAACAAACAAAAAAAAATTAGAATGGGTATAAAAATTACACTTTGATGATATTTTGGTGTCATCACTGTCACCGACGTGATCAGGGGAATTCTTAACAAAATATCAGGAAAATTGCCCTGACACAGACTCCCAGACTTATAAAAAGGTCTATCTTATAGATCAAGGAGTAAAATTTCGTAATTCTACGGGACAGGCATCAGTCACAGGGTTTTTTGTTTGTTTATTTGTTTGGTTTTTTAATCGATACGGCTTTACTTTGTATTTAGGACAATATTAAGTAAGAATCTAGGTACTTCTAGCCACACTGATTTCTCAACCACTGAAGGTATCTTAGTCCAAGATACTTTAACAAAATACCATAGATTTGGTGGTTTATGACAGACATTTATTTTTCATTGTTCTGGAAGCTGGAAGTCTGAGATCAGAAGTAACGGCCCTCCTCAGGGTTTCTAGAAGCCGTCTTTTCACTATATCCTTACATGGCAGAGAGAGCAGTCTGTCTCTCATCCTCTTCTTACAAAGACACTAATCCCATCATGTGGCCCCACCCTCACTCACATCTAATCTAAACCTAATTACTTCACAAAGGCTCCACCTACAATTATCATCACCTTGGAAGTTAGAGTAACATGAATTTTGAGAGGGCACAAACATTCAGTCCATAACAGAGAATAAGGTTTTCTCTTGAGGTTGATCTCTTTTAAAAGACCAAGGAAGGATTCCAGAAGCCCATTGTTTTGTGACCAATTACTTCTGATAGGATCTGGTTTGTGTTTCTCTCTCTGTAAGTCATCATCTTACAACCAGGATGTTTGACAATGATGACACCTATTGAACTGTTTTATTTTCCATTTGAATCATAGAAGGGTAATCCTTTATTCTCCTCATAAAAAAGATATTATAAAGTATCAAGTATACTGAAAAAATCTCATGACATTATATAAACATTCCATGGTTTGTTATATTCTTGAAGCCACACTGTCAGGATTTTAGTTCCCATTCTGCAACTTACTACTTAAGTGACTATGGGCAAGCTTCTTAACCTCTCCATGCCTCAGCTTCCTCATCTCTGAAATGGGGATAAAAATAGCATCTAACTCATAGGTTGTTGTGAGTGTTATGTTAACTGAGAAATGGTAATCATCAGTTGGTACCTAGAAAAATGCCTGACACATACTAACAACTAAATAATTACTAGTTTGGGAATGAAATGGCCTAAGTCTTACTGGACTGTACTCTCCTAGTGAGAGTTCTCCATATTCACATATTCACAGATGAAGAAACCTTCACATTGGTAATAGAAAAGAAATCTCCTAGTTCATGTTCCCAGATTATCCAAGTGTCTATGACACAAATGAAAAGTAAAATATAAAGAGGAAAAGGCAATTGGCTCTTCCCTCTTCTTTGGAGTCACAGTTGTTAAACTTCAGTGGATAATATAAAAACAGACTATTTGCATCCTTTCAGAATTGCATCAGCTCGTTCCCACGTGTTAAATAGTCAGATCAGACATGAAAATATTTACCTTAGGTATTAGTCAATAATGTTCAATTTTTTTCCTTTTAGAAAGTTGAACAAATGCAACAAATGCACACACATTAGTGTGACATTTAGAACTTTTATTCTGGTAAAATATTTCATAAAATAGATTCTCACACAGTTATAATTCACAATAATTTACTGGCCGGGTGCAATGGCTCACACCTGTAATCCCAGCACTTTGGGAGGCTGAGGTGGACAGATCACAAGGTCAGGAGATCGAGACCATCCTGGCTAGCACGGTGAAACCCCGTCTCTACTAAAAATACAAAAAAATTATCTGGGCATGGTGGCGGGTTCCTGTAGTCCCAGCTACTCAGGAGGCTGAGGCAGGAGAATTGCTTGAACGTGGGTGGCAGAGGTTACAGTGAACCGAGATCATGCCACTGCACTCCAGCCTGGGCAACAGAGCAAGACTCCGTCTCAATAATAATAATAATAATAATAATAATTTATCTAGCATTTACCATTACAAAAAAAGTTAAAAAAATAAAGACGAAGTTATTTTAATCAAGTCCAGATGCATTTATAGATTGATTTTGGCAAAATAGATTCTATTCAAAAGCAAACTAATATTTCCTTTGATTTATCTGAAATAAGGGTCATTCCACTTTCTTATAGACAATTATGAATTTTAGTAGAAATGATAATCCAAAAGCAATATTGGTTTGACTTATATAAAAATAAAACTATAAAGCTGCTTAAATTTTCCCTTCAAACTGAAGAAACAAGCAAGATCTACTGCTCCAAATTGCCACTATTTGAAGTATCAAGAAAATGATCATACTGCATATCAGGTTCTTTTGGAGAAGTCTGTTAACACTTAAACTCAGTCATCAAATGGTTTCCCCATCACATGAGAATGTAAGCTACAAAGTAGATTTAATCTGTAAAAGGAAATGACTAATGTACAAATGTTTCTCTGGTGCTCAAGATGTGTGCTTTTTTCTGTTACTGGGTAAACTGCAATAATTGGTCTACTTCCAACAGAGTGCAGAAGAGGTGAACCAATAAATTTGTATTGACAGAGGATGGAAAATGTCAGTTATCCTAGGGAAGAGAGAATGCAAAGTCCTAGGCAGAAAGAAGATGCCACAGACAGACATACACCATAGCAGATGTTTGGGAATAAAGGGAGAAGTAGAATCAAGACACAGGATACCACTGACTACTTCAGGTCCAGTCCACTGGAGAAGCTCAATTGATTAACATCCTCTATCACCAACACCCTTCCCTTAGGCCTTCATCCCTCTTGACTGCACAGTGAGGTTGCCAGTCTCCCAGCACCCTACCTGTGTCAACCTCCGTTTTGCATATTCTGTGACATATATAAACAGTGAGGCTATTGTGATTGACATAAGCCAATCATATTTTAAATGGATATGAGCAAGGAAAAAAAAAAAACAAGTGAACACTAGTGCTTTGGGAGCAATTCCTTCTAAAATGTTCATGAAAATATCCAAATCAAGGAGAAACATGCACAAGAGAAATGAGATCCACGTCATAAACAATGAGAAATTTTAGCTAAATCTAGAGAACATGAGATGAGATTAGAGAAAAAACCAAATGTGTTTCCTTTGCCTAAGAACAGTCTGCATAAGAAATAACCAAAGGAGATACTGGTGGAAGCTTGTCCAATCTTTAATAAACAGGGTAAGTTTAGAGGTGAAGCCAGCTGTGGGGCAGTCAGGGGACCTGCTTCAAACTCACTGATGCTTATAGGATGGGTTCAGTTTGCTGAAGCCACACTGAGCTGCAAGCCTCTTGCTCTGAAGATAAAAGGGAACCTGAAGAGATTGGCTTTTGACAAGAGCAGCTGTGTCAGGTCCAAAACAGAGCTTCTGATGGTTTGGGAAAACATGAAACAGGAACTCTTCCTTGCAGAGGCAAACTTTCCGATTCTAGCTTTCATTTTCTCTTTACACTCAGGCTGCCATATCTCTGAATTTACATAGTGAATGTTTCCAATTCAGATGAAAGTTGAAAAGAAAATAATAGATTTACCGTAATTTCAGATAGATATCCTCACCAATCCCAGAGGAACCTTATTTCTATTCCAATTTATCCATCCTTATCAGTGAGATTAATACTTTCCAGTAAATAGGGAAAAAAATCACATATCTTTAAAAAGATAATATGTTCCAAGAAATCAGACCAAATACATCCTCTGAAATAGAGTACTGCAAAGAATAAAAAAGACATTTTCAAATGTTTAATTTGTATTTTAACAAGATTTTGAGATATTGCATCTATGAAACCAGAATAGCCCTGTGCAAAAAGGGAAAGAGGTGAGGAAAATCACTCTTTCAAAAGTCTCTTTTGTTCAGCTGCTTTGTTGGAGGCACTGAGCTGAGCTCTGAAGACACTGTTGTAAATGATGAAAACACACTTCCTGCCTTTAACAATGTCTGCATTTAAATGGTAAGCTATTCCCCTAGTCAAAATTAATTAGAATTAATTGCAAGTGGTTGTAGCATTCTGGAGGTGAACTGTACCACCTCTATAACAGATGCACAGATGACAGTAGGCTGTCAACAGAATTTTTGGAATCATGGAAGACTTCCCTGAGCAAGTGACATTTAAGACAAGAAGGAAAATATGACTTGGAATTAGCCAGGCCAAGACTTGGGGAAAGCATGAAGCAAAGAGAGGAAAAGTCAAATGGGAAGCATTACAAGTAAGAAAAATTAATGGTATGTTCAAAGAAGAAAGAGTCCAGGAGGTCAGGAGAAGAGAGTGAGGAGGAAAGACATGATTAGGCTGGAGAGGGAAGCAAGGGCTAGCTCATCCAGGGACCAGGAAGAATGCTGAGGATTTTGAAATTTATCCTAGGAACATGTAAAATAGACTAATGGAACAGAATAGAGGACCTAGAAATTCACACATGTACAGCCAATTCATTTTGACAAAGTTGTCAAGAATACACACTGGAAAAAGGATGGTCTCTTAATAAATGGTGCTGGGGAAACTGGATATTCATATGCAGAAGAATGAAATTAGCTTCTCATAATTCACCATATACATAAATCAACTCAAAATAGATTAAAGACTTAAATGTAAGACCTGAAACTATGAAACTGGAGAAATGTTACAGAGCATTAATCTGCGCAAAGATTTCATGGGTAAGACCTCAAAATCTCAGGCAACAGAAACAAAAATAGACAAATGGGATTTACATCTGGCTAAAAAGTGTCTGCATAGCAAAAACAAACAAATGAAAAAACAACAGTGTGAAGAATAAAGCCTGTTGAATGGGAGAAAATATTTGCAAACTATCCATTCAACAAGGAATAAATAAGAACATATAACGAATTCAACTCAGTATAAAAAAATCTGATTTAAAAATGGGAAAATACCTGAAAAGGCATTTTTCAAAAAAAAACAACATACAAATTGCTAAAAGGTATATGAAAAAATGCTCCACATCACTAACAATCAGAGAAGTACAAATCAAAACCACAATAAGGTAGGATCTCATCCCAGTTAGAATAACTGTTATCAGAAGCACAATAACAAATGCTGGTCAGGATGTGAAGAAATGGGAATGCACATATACTGTGGGTGAGCATGTAAAGCAGTACAACCATTATGGAAACCAGTATGGAGGTTCCTGAAAAAACTAGAAACACAACTACCATATGATCCAATCTGGCAATCTTACTGCTAAATGTGTGCGTGTGTGTGTGAGTGTGTGTGTGTGTGTGTGTGTGTGTGTGTATGTAAGTATAGATATATATGTATATGTATATGTAAGTGTGTATATATATGTGTAAAATATATACACCTAGCAGATATATATATAATATATATATACACATATATATAACACCAGCATGTCAAAGAAATATCTGCACTCTCATGTTTATTGTAGCACCATTCACAATAGCCAAGATAGAGAATCAACCTAAGTGTCCAAAAAGAGATATATGGATAAATAAAATGTGGTATATATACACAATGGAAAATTATTCACTCATAAAGAAGAATGAAATCTTGTTATTTGCAGCAACATGGATAGAACTGGAGGTTGTTCTGTCAACTGAAATAAGCCAGGCATGGAAAAACAAATATTGCATATTCTCATTCATATGTGGGATCTAGAAAAGTTACTCTAATGGAGGTAGAGAGTGGAATGGTGGTTTCCAGGGGCTGGGAAGGGGAAAGAAATAGGAAAGATGATGAGAAGCTGTTTAATGGGTCCACAAACACAGCTAGGTAGAAGGAATTCCTTCTGGTATCTAGTAGTTCAGTAGGAAAATTATAGTTAACAATAATTTATTGTATATTTCAAAATAGCCAGAAGAAAATAATTGTAATATTCCCCCCAAAAAAGATAAATATTTGAGATGATGGATATTCCAATTATCCTCATTTGATCATTATACATTATACACATGTATCAAAATATGACATGTACTCCTAAAATATGTACAAATATATCAATCTTAAAAATCCAAAATTAGAATAATGGGAAAAAAACTGAAGCGCTGTAAGCAAGAACATGACAAAATCAGATTTGTATTTAGAATATCATTTTGGCACATCTATGTATGGATAATAGATTCACAAAGATTAAGGGGATATAAAGGGAAACAAGTTAGGAAGCTGTTCAAGCAATAAAGATGAGAGTCGACAGTTACTTGATGTAGGAGGGAGACATCTAGAGAGAATGAAATCATTGGGATCTTGAAATAACTCGTGGAAATGAAAGCATTATTCCTGATGAAATCTGCAATGGAGGAAATTAATGGTAAATTGAAAAAAATACTTCAGTTATAAGTGAAGTTGTGACATCTCTTAAAGTTCAGATGAAAAGACAAAAAGGATGATTATGATAAGAAACATACTAGGAGAATAGGTCTAAAAGCACACATTAGGGGATCTAAGAGATGGGAATGGCCAACTGGAACAGAAAAAAAGTACACAAATAAATAATATATAATGGTACACCCACCAAAAGTGTATTATTCAGTGATAAGAAAATAAACTTATCAAGCTGCCGCCGGGCATGGTGGCTCACTCCTGTAATCCCGTCACTTTGGGAGGCTGAGGTGGGAAGATCATTTGAGGTCAGGAGTTCAAAACCAGCCTAGCCAACATGGTGAAAGCCCATCTCTACTAAAAATACAAAAAATTAGCTGGGCGTGGTGGTGGGCCCCTGCAGTCCCAGCTACTTGGGAGGCTGAGGCAGGAGAATGGCGTGAACCCGGGAGGCAGAGGTTGGTTGCAGTGAGCTGAGCTGAGATCATGCCACTGCACTCCAGCTTGGGCGACAGAGCAAGACTCCATCTCAAAAAAAAAAAAAAAAAAAAAAAAGAAAAGAAAAGAAACTTATCAAGCTACAAAAAGACATGAAGGAGCTATAAACACATATCGCTAACTGAAAGAAGCTGATCTGGAAAAGACACATATTTTTTTATTTCTACTATATGACATTCTGAAAAAAGAAAACCTAGAGACAGTAAAGAAGTTAGTGACTGCCAGGTTTTCAGGGGGGAGGGAGGAGGGATGAACAGGCAGAGAACAGGGCAATTTTAGGGCAGTGAAAACATCGTGTATGATACTGCAATGGTGGATACATGACATTATGTATTTATCAAAACCCATAGAACTGTGCAATGCAAAAATTAAATCCTAATGTAAACTATGAACTTTAGTTAATAACACTGTATCAAGACAAGTTCTTAGCAAATATTCAATACTAATGCAAGATGTTAATGGATAGAAGGTGAGGAAGGAGAGGTATATGGAAAGTCTCTGGGATTTCTGTGCAAATTTTTCTATAAACCTAAAACTGCTGTTAAAATAAAGTCTAATAAAACATAAGAACCCCTTTAACAATCAAAGAAAGGCCAGCAGAATTTAAAGATAAAAATGCTTACCAAGTATCTGGCAAAGCACCTTATCCTGAAGTTTATGACATCAAAAGAAAATAGAGCCAGACTGAAAAATGAGGTGTTTGGTAGTAATAAAGTCAGCTAAAGGAGAAACAGAAAAAGCGCACAGGAGAGGGAAAAAAAAAAAAAAAGGTTACTATAGATCCTCTAGATTACCCTTTCAAATAGGCAAAAGACAAGGGAAAAAATATCCAGAACATCTTTAGGGAGAAATTAGAGCCCATGCCACAGGTCAAAGAGGAGTGAACATGGAAAGACAGCTTTTCTTGCGTCTGTTCTTTGCGACATAATAACGTAGGATATGAGAGTAGGTGATATAAATGTATCTGAAAGCCAAATAGTGAATCAAATCTGTTAAGAAAAACTAGATGTTTAGGCTAGATGAAAGTGGAATAAAAAGAGGTGATACCCAGAAAACACAAATATGTACTACATAAATGAGGATTCTCACAAATGGCTCATCTCCACGGGCTGACAGATCTTGTTAGAATTTGCTGCACATCAGCCATGAACTAATACATTCTACGGCTCAGGGGTAAAACTAACAAAACCTTACTCCTTCTTGCCTTCTTCTAAAATAATCTATTTTAAGTGGATACAGAAATATATCTTTACAACCAGTTATCCCTTAGAGGTTGAGCTATGCCATTCTTTCCTAGGAATAACCCTTTTAACTATTTATTTATCTAAGATTGAATATTTTTTAGGCCTTTGAGCGTTTTGCACAGTATCTTCTTATGCTGTCCATAGTGGTATTTGACAGTAAGATGGACTGGAAAATTCAAAGTGCTAGACTATCTTTGCAATACATTGGCTGGATCAAGAGAACTGGGCATCTTTCATTATCAATCTGTGAAAGAATCACAGTATGAGACAACATTGGTGATAGTGCTGAGTCTCACCTTCCCTCACCACATATTAAAAACCAGCTATTTATGAGAAAATTTGGGAGGGTTAACTACTACCTGAAATGCTAAGAGTGTGTTCTCCTCTGAGACTTTCTATGTAACCACCCTTCTTTTTGAGACGGAGTCTTCCTCTGTTGCCCAGGCTAGAATGCAATGGCATGATCTCAGCTCACTGCAACCTCAGCCTCCTTGGTTCAAGCGATTTTCCTGCCTCAGCCTCCTGAGTAGCTGGGATTACAGGTGCACACCATCACGTCTGGCTAATTTTTGTATTTTCGGTAGAGACGAGGTTTCACCATGTTGGTCAGGATGGTCTCAAACTCCTGACCTCAGGTAATCCACCCACCTAGGCCTCCCACAGTGCTGGGATTACAGGCGTGAGCCACTGTGCCAAGCCATAACCACCCCTCTTAATGCATCTATATTAACAGTTATGAGAACATAAGCTTATAATACGGAGGAAGACAAAGGAGAATCCCCTTGAAAAAAGAGGTATAGCAAGCAAATGGATTTATCTTTATGCTGTTATTTCACATGTGACAAAAACATAAATTTGCATAGACCTAGTTTTTCTTGGCTGAGTGGTCATTTTTCATTGTGAGTAAGTAAGAAAACACTGGCATTTTCTATTCCTAATAGGGCATCTGCATCAGTTAATATCACCATAAAGACAATTTTAAGGCAGAAACAGGATCTGGGTAAATTTAACGAGTGAATATACTATACAACAAAACTAAAATAGAGGTCAATAAATCCCCTAACAACAATTCCCCGCTTATGTACATGAGGCTAAGTTCAGCAGATATAACAATGATTTTTATATAATTGTTTTTGAGAGATGGAGAAAATAATAAGGATGATACAACGACATCTGTAGCACTGCACAAAAATTCTCCTTGATGAAGCAAGACCAAACAGAAGGATCATGGAGGACTGGTGCAGAGTGAATCTTGAGTCTACCTTGAATGTACAGTAAATAAGAAAGAGGGAGACAGATACAAAAAACTTTAGACTGAGTGTTAAATCATGTAGGCTTTGAATCTCTGACACTAAAACTGGAATGATCGGCCAGGCACTGTGGCTCACACCTGTAATCCCAGCACTTTGGGAGGCCGAGGCAGGCAGATCACGAGGTCAGGAGATCAAGACCATCCTGGCTAACATGGTGAAAACCCATCTCTACTAAAAAATACAAAAAATTAGCTGGGTGTGTGGAATGCGCCTGTAGTCCCAGCTACTCGGGAGGCTGAGGCAGGAGAATGGTGTGAACCTTGGAGGCAGAGCTTGCAGTGAGCGGAGATAGTGCCACTGCACTCCAGCCTGGGCAACAGAGAGAGACTCCTCCATCTCAAAACAAACAAACAAACAAACTAGAATGATTTACTGAATTTTAGCTAAGTACTAATTATAGTACAAATACTAGCCTCATCGAACTATTTCACAAGTTGTGTCAAATAATTAAAATACACATGATGGTTCTTAATTCATTTGAGTAACACAGAAAGACATCTAATCCAATTTTAAAGAATAGATGATTCATAAAGTGACCCTTGTAAATATAAGAATTTAACATATAACAAATAAGACCTGTGACTTCCAGTCAACTGCCAATCATTGGCCCAGTCAACTGTGGGCAGAGGAGTAAGTCATATGGCATTAAACACGTTGACCTGTGATTTAAAAAATTGTCTAGACTGGCCAGGAATCTCTGAGGTGTTTTGGACTGGAGCTGCCTGTACTGGCTTATGATTAAAAATCCAATTAACTGTGTCTTTGGAGAGGATTCAATCTGTGATCATTTCACTACTTCTACTGCTCCCATTGCTCCCACAACTGGTATACTGGCTTCCCACAATGGCATTAGAGAAGAGGAATAATAATGACTACTGAAAATACTGAAGGAACGGATCACCCTAGCATTGCTCTTCTACCCAAAAGGTCATTTGGATGACTATTTACCATGGGGAACAAAACATTCCTTTGTGAAGCCTGGCTGTGAGGCTACTGAGAGGCTACCCACTGCCTTGCATATGTTTATAATAAGGTTCATCATGCTAGATAATATATCTAGTTTGTTATATGAAGCCCTTTAATATATTAGTTTAGAATTACATAAATTTATTTGATCATAAACATTGAACACTTTAAAATAATATTAAACATGCTTATTGCAAGACTTATCAGAACCTTCAGTATAAGAAAGTGCACTGTGGGTCTCCAACAAGTAAACAGAGTATGCAGTGTTTCTGCCCTATGTGACTATGCCACATGTTGCCAGACGGTGCAGCATATGTTCCTTCCAAGCAGCACATTGCCAGACTAATTTTCGGTATTTCACATTTCAGAAAGCACTATATTTGAACAACCCACTGCTATAGTACCAACTAAGACAGTAGAACAAGACTAACTGGAAGAAATTCAAGAACAAGACAAGCTAATGGAAGAAATTCTTCCATTTTCTCATTGATAGCCAAAGAAGATGAGTAAAATTAGAGTCAGAAAAATATAAATTTGGGATCAAATAATCTTCCTTTGGATTTTCCTGCTTTGGGTAAGTTTATCTTATTTGAAAAAAAGTTTTCTTATTTAAAGCAGTTAATGGGTAATAGGAATCACAAAGCTAAATTGTTGTAGTAATAAATCAATTTGTTCCAAAGCAAATTCAAAACATGTACTCAATGATATTATTACTCTACACAATGTCCTCAAATAAATGCTGGGATTTTTACTGTTGTTTGTTTTTCCCAGTGAAGAGAAGGTGGCAGCCAGCACTGGACAATTGACTGGCAGAATGTCCCTTGTTTTGCTTTAATGAATAGCTAAGAATGGCCTTGATAAATGTATCACAACATTGGCCTGGATATATATAGCTCCCCATTGTTTACATTGCAAATGTATGGCATAAAACAGTTGCTTCCAAAGAGTTTTAAAACTCTTCATTTTCTTAAGTAGGTAAATATATCTCTCATAATTTTGTTCACTTTAACTATTTGCGTAGGTACTCTCTCCCTGCTTTTTGGACAAAAAAGAAAAGGTATTTGAATTATTCTAAGTAAATAAGGTATCCTGTAAATCCTGACAGCCTCCGGAACTGAAAGAAGCAGCAAGAACTTGTGAGGAAATGGCTAATTTTAAACTACCCAGTGCATGTGGATGTTTCCAGTTATACCTGAATACTTACATAAAAATTCCCAGAGGTCTTTTGGCATGCACGTTTTTGATCCTGCAAAAACTGATAATTGGACTCAGAATAAAAAATCCATATCTATAAATGCCAGTTTTCAGAATATTCTAATATTAAAATTGGGCAGAATCCTTTAAAAATGCATGGAAAAAAAGAACTCTTCTGTTCAATGGAAAACAAATGTCACTATTTCTTTAGAGGATTACAACTTTCTGGCTCCCTAAATTTACCCAAATAGAGTCTATCAAAATATTTATGCATAGACACAGGCTTAGGTAAAGAAGATTAACCGCTCTAATGGGTTAAAAGAACTCTCCAGGTCAAAAGTTTTATCTGAAAAAAACTACACATATTTTTATGAAACTTTAAGGACTTTCACAATAGTTGGTTAAATATACAATAAATAAACTCTCACCACCAAAAACATGTTTCTCATAAAGCAGATGTAAAAAAAAACTGCAGAGAACTAATCTATTCTCATTTGTGTGTATTTTCTGTAAGACTTTTAAAAGATATGTTCATTGCTCTTAGTCAACATAATTATAAAAGAAGAAAAATAGAGCATATTCTTTAAGTCTTTATGAAATAATATTCCTAAAGGAGTGGTTCATTACGTGTTTAATTCTATGTCATAATTAAATTACATAAGCAAAAGTATGCATTGACTTTATGAAAGTAAAAAAATAATTGTTGTCAAACACATAATGCATGAGATAATTAAAGAGATGATTTTATACAGGCTATTGCAATAGGGAGAATTGTTACTAATGAGGAAAACCTTTTTTCAAGGCAGAAAATTGGGGTTTTATGAAAGAGGAGAGCCATGAGGAAGGGCACACACAGGTGGGTCTTAGAATATGCAAGGGCAGAGTGGCCCTTTCTGGTAATTTCTCAGAATAAAAAAAGGAAGATAGATTTCAGAGAATAAAAGGTAGAGAAATTTCTCAACCATTGTTGTTTTCTGGGAATACAAGGCTCAAGTAAAGTTCAACATTGTTGCTGCCACTTATTTAAAACCTTTAAAACTTTTGCTAATATATTTATACACACAGTCTCAAAATTCTTTAAAATAGTATTTCTCATTTTATAGTTGCATAGATGTATGTAGTCGGGAGTAATTTGGATTAGCATCCTAGCCTGTTATGGTGAAAATTCAACTGGGTATGAGAGAGTAACAGATGATTTTCTTATCTTCCTCAATATCCTTAAAAACTCCACCTCATAGCAACCAAACAGCCACTTTCTACATTCTACTTTCTCTCAGGTCATGAGGAAAACAAAATTAACAATTTTGATTTTTAATGAAAGGGAAGAAGTCATCATCAGATGTTTAAGAAGCTTTGAAATGACAGACTAGTCTGACTGGACTGCTAGACACAGAAGAATAGGTGGGGGATGGAGAAACAGGATTTCAGGCTTTGTTCCCTGCCTCCTTACACTGGAAAGTAAACAACATGAAGACAGAAATTCTTATCCATTTTTATTTATTATCAATTCCTGGACACTCAGTAAAGCTGATGTATAGTTGGCACTTAAATATTAGTTGAGCAAAATAAATGACATAAATTAAAGAGTACTGCCACTGGGTCAACATGATAAGTAATATGCAAATTCTCATCTCACCTCGAACTCAAATTTTATGTAGACTCAATTAAAAAAAGTTGAGTCACAAAAGTGGCATTTGTGGAAGATTAAAAACTATATATTCTTTCTATCAAATACAATGTACCCTAAGTAAAACTATCTTACATCTTCAGGGATTTGTATTTTTCATGTACTTTAAATTTCCTCAGAGAATATTATAAGACACATGCACTAAAAATATTCAACACTGCATTTCTTAGGACCATTTTCACTAATAATTCAGAATTCTCAATAGAATGTCTTAGATGAGAAATATCTCTGGGAAATTATAAATGCAAAGTTTGGCTTCCTTTAAGGAACCAGTGGCTTTGCTCTTACATGAATGTGATGATTATTTACTTAATCATATAACTCTTTTTGCTTTGGCTTCTAGGGAGCTTAAAGGCAAATTTGAAACCCCTTACAGTAAAATTATTGGTATATTTATTTTTTTCAAAGTTAATACATTAGTAAGTGCTATCTTTTAGGGCACACAGCTTTTGTCAGGCACAGGGCAAAGCAACTTAACAAAATCACCTCATTGTTTTTTATCCTGAATGAAAAGCTTTATGTTGAATACAAGGTAAGATTATTATCAGGATAGATGAGAAAGGGAAGTTGCCCATGTTCATACAGCTAGTACACAGTAAAGCTATAATTCGAACTATGATCTCTAATTGTCCAATTCTGTGTTCAGGAATGTACTCTCCTTTCCTAAACTGTCTTCTTTCCCTGCTTGTCTTAATTTTACTTATATTATGCATTCTTTAGTTCTGTTTAAGTTTTCTTTAATCACGCTTATATTGTGTGTTTGTTCAAGCTGTGTTCAATCCTCTGTAAAATGAAGTAGAGAATAAACATATACCACATATTAATATAGCAATATGAAACATAAAACAACCATGAACTAAATGCCTAATGAGCAGCTAAGAACTTCATGTACTATTTCCATCATAAAACTTCTTCTCCATTACGCATTGAATGTGTCTCCTTGCCTGCCTTCTGCTAAAAAAGACATGTTGAAGTCCTAACTCCTAGTACATCAGAATGAGAACCTATTTGGACATAGGGTCATTGCAGATGCAATTAGTTAAAATTAGGTCATACTGGAGTAGGGCTGCTAACCCAATATGACTGGTGTCACAAGACGAGACACAGAAAGACACACAGAGAGAAGATGTGAAGAGACAAAGAAGAATGCTGTGTGTTGACAGCAACAGAGATTGGAGTGATGCCTCTACAAGCCAAGGGCTGACAAGAATTGCAGCAAGACTAGAAACTAAGAGAAAGGCATAGAACAGATTCTCCCCTAAAACTAGTCCTTCAGAGAGAGCATTACCTTGATTTTGGACTTCTAGCCTCCAGTACCTTGTAAGAATAAATTTCAGTTGTTTTTAGCCACCCAGGTTTTGGTACTTTATCATAGCAGTCCTAGAAACTAATACAGTCTCCAAAAATGCTGCTGGAAGGCAGATCAAATTCCTAGCTAACAAGAAGAAGCTCAGCTAAAGTCACTTTGGTACTAGTGAGAAAAACTGAAGGCAGTGCTTCTATATAATTGTAAGCATTTCTGACAGATGCTTACTGATATTGAATAAGACCAAAAAAAAGGAAACATTTGGAGTTAGGAGTGGATAACTATCTCATTAAGCCATGACTGTTGAGAGAAGTTGAGTGGCTCTGGTACTGGTTATTATGCAGATCGTGCACAAATAACATAGCACAGTTTTCATGAATATCATTTTGGCTCATTACAGAATTCAACTCTTTGCAGTTTACTGAGTTTTAAAGAAAATTTTTGAAATTGCCCAATTAAGTAACAATTGAATGGAGTGTTAAAATTAATCATCTCAATTTATCGCCTTAAAAACTTATCAATGGACCTTTATTTTCCCAACACAGCCTGTGAATCACACTGTCTTTTTCAGTCTTTATCTCCATTCAACATGTTTCAGGGCAGAGTGTTCAACCTCACAAAAATACCTTGTTAAATTTGTTTTAAAAACATTTATGGATGCTTCAAATGAATTGGAAAAATAACTGAAAATCTGCAACTATTAGTGAATCGTCTTACTTGATTCTGACTTTACAACACAGGAGTATTCCCTAAATGCAGGAGGCAAAAGCAAACACTGGATCAAGGCCCTGATCTTCAAGCAGCCAGAAGGCAATGGTAGCAAAGAATAATGAACATCTTTCTAACCAAATGAACCTTGTATTACTTATCCTCAGCTTCAGAATATTCCAATCAGTGCTTCACTGCAACAGAAATGACTCTGTATTATTTTCAAATAAGATATTAATGATTGCATGGTAATGATTATTCAATGAGAAAATGTGTTCTAAGGAGGATATAAATAAAGGTTATGGTGAGGAAGCCACAGCACCTTTACAGCAACAGGCTTTGATTCCTCAGAACAAGACATATGATAGATGTGTTGTCTTATTGTTTTAAGAAGGTTGAAGTTTGCAGTACAAGTTTGATCATCTTTCAGAGTGTCTTGTTAAATCCTACTGTTGGTGCTTGTCCATTATTGAACAGTCTCCAGCCTTTGCGGAAGGAAAAGGAAAACAAACACACACAACAAAACAGTATTCTAAGGTGCTTTCCACATAGCTTACGTAAAGATAGAATCACGACATTTTATGCTATATCAATAACTTTTCCTACTTCAATAAAAATTTTATCTCAGATTTTTTTTGTATTAGCTAAAATTTATCAAAATTATCAAGTTCATGCTAGTTATCTTCACAGTCTATGAAGAAAATTATTGTGAGGGGTTTGTTAGTTTGTGAACAAGGAGAAGCTTCACATTTCTCTGTATTTACACTTAGCTTATCAGAAGTTGATGCCATTGTTGGCCTCCTATCCCTTAGGTGGTTGCCAGCTACTTCCTTCATCTAATAATTCTAGATTATATTATGGTTTTTTGTATATGCATCATTGGTAGCTCCAATTAACTACAAATTTTCTAAAAAATATTTCTGTATTTTTCTATGCCAATGATTATTTTTGATATACTATACTGATAGCAATTTGTTTTAAAAAGAATTCAACCATCTGATCTTTGACAAACCTGACAAAAACAACCAATGGGGAAAGGATTCCCTATTTAATAAATGGCATTGGGAAAACTGGCTAGCCATATGCAGAAAGCTGAAACTGGACCCCTTCCTTACACATTATACAAAAATTAACTCAAGTTGGATTAAATACTTAAACATAAGACCTAAAGCCATAAAAACCCTAAAAGAAAACCTAGGCAATACCATCCAGGACAAAGGCATGGGCAAAGACTTCATTACTAAAATACCAAAAGCAATGGCAACAGAAGCCAAAATTGACAAATGGGATCTAAGAAAACTAAAGAGCACAGCAAAGGAAGCTATCATCAGAGTAAACAGGCAACCTACAAAATGGGAGAAATTTTTTTCAATCTCTCCATCTGACAAAGGGCTAATATCCAGAATCTACAAAGTACTTAAACACATTTACAAGAAAAAAACAAACAACCTTATCAAAAAGTGGGTGAAGGGTATGAACAGACACTTCTCAAAAGAATACATTTATGAGGCCAACAAACATGAAGAAAATCTCATCATCACTGGTCATTAGAGAAATGCAAATCAAAACCACAATGAGGTACCATACCACACCAGTTAGAATGGCAATCATTAAAAAGTCAAGAAACAACAGATGCTGGAGAGGATGTGCTTTTACACAGGAATGCTTTTACACTGTTGGTGGGAATGTAAACTAGTTTAACCATTGCGGAAGACAGTGTGGTGATTCCTCAAGGATCTAGAACTAGAAATACCATTTGACCCAGCAATCCCATTACTGGGTATATACCCAAAGGATTATAAATCATTCTACTATAAAGACACATGCACACGTATGTTTATTGCGGCACTATTCACAATAGCAAAGACTTGGAACCCACCCAAATCCCCATCAATGATAGACTGGATAAAGAAAATATGGCACGTATACACCATGGAATACTATGCAGCTGTGAAAAAGGATGAGTTCATGTCCTTTGTAGGGACATGGATGAAGCTGGAAACCATCATGCTCAGCAAACTAACACCAGAACAGAAAACCAAACACCGTATGTTCTCACTCATAAGTGGGAGTTGAACAATGAGAACACATAGACACAGGGAGGGGAACATCACACACTGGGGCCTGTTGGGGATTGGGGGGCTAGGGGAGGGATAGCATTAGGAGAAATACCTAATGTAGCTGACGGGTTGCTGGGTGCAGCAAAGCACTGTGACACATGTATACCTATGTAACAAACCTGCCCGTTCTGCACATGTACCCCAGAATTTAAAGTAGAATTTTTTAAAAAAGAAACAAATCTGATTTCAATTTTCATTTTAATATTTAAAAAAAGATATGAATTGATATCCAAAGTTGATGGTTCATATAACTTTATTTTGTAAAAACCCACTAAAATATATTTTGTAAATACAATTTGAATGAATTCTTTTCATTAAAAATTTATCTTTTAGTGTTAATAAAAGCTTCTAACATTTTATATTCTATACCACTTGTAGGAAATAAGTAATGATACTATATAAACAGTATCAGCATCATTTTAAAAGGTACCAATTTTATAACTATAACAATGTAAGTTAACACAAAGATTAACAGAATTTAGAAAGATATGTAAAAATAATAGAAATTTAGTTTATATATTGAACACAAATGAGAACTGTTTTTTCTTTTCACAAATCTAATTAAGTATAATTGGATCTGTGAAACGAAAGTTTTAGATGCTGAAAATATAGCTTCTGTAAGTACAAAGCTAACCTAATTGTGAAAGCTAGATATAAATTAATGAGTTTTTCCAAGTTCTAGAGAGCAACTTTTATATCTTAACAACTGAAGAGTTAGATGAACTAATATACGAACTTTGTTCTTAATAATTACTTATGTAAATCTCTTCTCAGCCAGTTATTCAGTTCCTAGAATTACACCTACTGGTAATTGTCTTGTTTCATTGAATTAAACAGAACTCTTTCTCAAAGGAGTTTGGAAATTTGCTCTGAGATTCTATATGGAGATTGAGGAAGTATAATTATTCATCTCTCTGTACATATTTCAATCCAGAACACAATGGCTTCAGCCTCGTGCCCAGCACTGTGCAGATATTGGAACTATCAGAAGTAAAGATGACAAGGTACTTTGACCTGAACATGGTGATTGAAGAAAGAAATTTTGCTCCCTTAAAAAGAAATCATTGAAGAAATCTCCTAGCATGTAAACTTTTATGAACAAAACAAATCAAATAATGGTGGCTTAGTGAAACACAGACAATCCTTTTTACTTTTTAGATTTGCTCCAGTGACACAGTGGTTTTCAGACTGCTGGGACTGGAAAACAAAACCTTTTTTAAAAGTTCTTGTTATTTTGGGGCTATTTTTACATAAACACATTTTCAATGTAATTGAATGGGTCAAGGGGAAGGAGGAGAATTGCAAGAGGAAAATAATTTATTTTATAAGTCTGCTAAGCCCCATGAGTTATGCATACTTTGTATATTCTTCTCAAAAAGTCATCTGAGATAACAGGTATTACCCCATTTTACTTATCAGAAACCTGTAGCATTAGAGGTTAAATAACTTTACCAAAGTGATTCAACTGATTTATGAAGAAACAAAGACTTGAGACTACATATGCCTGTTCCAAAGCCCATCTGAGGTAGAAGACCATCAACACTTTTTCTAAGCACCGAAAATAACCCTGCTGATCAAAATAGAATGTAGCAGAGAAGACTCTTTATATCAGCAGGTGGTGATGAAACTGATCTCTACTTGCCCTCACTGCTCATTAGCATAAAGATACTCCCACCGACACCATGACGTTCTACAAATGCCACAGCAATGACCTAGGAGTCACCTTATATGCTTCTAGGAACTCCCTCGCCCCTTTTCTAGAAAATTCTGAGTGACCTGCCCCTTAATTAGCATATAATTTAGAGTAGGTATAAATATAGTCAGGCAGCAATTCACAGTGGGGGAGGCTGCTGCAGCTGCTGGTCCTCCTCTGAACTGCTGCTGTTGCTGTAAGCTCCTGCTGCTTCTCAGAACTGCCATTGCTGCTTTGCTGAGCTGCTCTGCCCATGTGGTAGTCCTGCTTTGCCTATGGAGAGTCATTTTGGTTTATATGGCTACTCTAGGCTCCTCTGCCTATGGGTTAGCCTTGTTCTGTCTATGGAGCAGCCATTTTGCTATATACTATTGCTCTGATAAACTTGCTTTCATTGTCTGCCTACTTTTGAATTCTTTCCTTAGTGAAGCCTAGAACTCTCCTGGGCTAAGCCCCATTTTGGGGGCAACCCTGCACCACATCCTCTTGTCACTACACTATGTTCTCATCTACGTAGTTGAAAAATGGAAACAATCAATAAGCTCACCAGTTTTGTTGTTAAAGGATACCAAGTAGTTTAACTTTTTTTCTACTGAAGTGATACACATACTGTATATAGTTTTTTGAAAGGCAATATTTACACAATATCAAAGTTAATGTGGAAAAAATGTAGGCCACACAAATGAGAACAGATTATTTATTCAGAGCCTATTATAACATGGGGATAGCACCATTATTTGCATTTGTTGGAGACTACAAGGCAGGCAGGGGAATGGGAAAGTATGATAGTGAAAAAATTAGAAGGCTTCAGGTACACTACAATTGGAGGTTACTGAAATGGGCATGCTGGAAGCAAGCTCACTAAGGTGGAGAATCTTATGTGATAGGTTCTAGGAGCATATTTGGCTTTCTCTGGTTTGTTCTGAGTTGGAAGCTGGTAGTCATTGACCAAGCCCTGACCATTCTGCAGAAATGGTAGTTTGGCTTCCTTGGCTGGTTGCTGCAGAAACCATGGGTCAGAGACCTATTGTTATGAATGCTCCGGCCATTGTTCATTTGTATAAGCAATTTCTCAGAATTAATGACTTAAAAATATTATTTCTTAGAATTCAAAAACAGGTATTTAATGCTATGATTATACTCTGCAATCTAACAGCATGCACAATGGGATACATTTCTTGCTGTATTTTGTCACTCAATTTATTGTCCCAGGCTTATGTCAGACTTTCTAACCTTTCCCTTCTTTGCAAATTTCCAGCTCTGAGTGTTCTACCAGCATCACTTATTTGCTAACCCCTCTTCCCATTTTTTTTTTCTGAGAAAAAGAGATGCAATTAGAAAACATATGAAATTTCCTGATACTTTCTCTAACCACTTGCCTGCAAATGTTGCTATGCAATTCTCTTATTCTGGATGAATTGTTCCTGCTCACATTTTAGGCCAACGCTGCTACTCCCCTCTCACCTACTCAAGGACTTCTCGCCACCACTCCCCCTATTTCTCCCATCCAATTTTCCGTCTCTGCTGTATCAGTCTCAGCAGCATACTTAGGTATCTGACCTCAAAACAGTCCTCTTTAGACATTGCATTCCTCTTCAGTAGCCCCACTTCTAAGCTCCTTACTAGAGCAAAATTACTTAAAAAATGTTTTTCTTCCTGTTTCTAAAACCTTACCATCCACATTTTCATCAACCTACTCTATTTGATTTTTACTAATGAACCTTCACTTTTGAGATTACATGGTGAAAGGGACACTATGTTTTTGACGTATAGACTGATGGGAAGTTAGTTCTTTCAGAATGGGAGCAGGAAAAAATAGAGAGCCAGATGCATTAAAAAATCAGACTCATTTCAAAGGTTTTCTCTTTTCATTAATTAGTTAATTCTGATTTTTATTCAAATATATACTTAGAGTCTAAAAACATACATCAGGGAGACTATTTAAACAGGATGTACCTTTCTGATACCTTGGAAGAGTATGGAGTTTAATTTTTTAAATGTACTGTCTCTGAAATATGAGGAACATTTCTGACAAGTTTTCAAGGTGGAAAGCACTAAAGTGTGAGAAAGCACTCTAAAGTGTAGAGAAGGTAACTGTTATATTCCCTGGGGCTTAACATCTTATTATGATTCATTTTCCATATAAATGGGCTTTTAAAAAGATTAAGATCCAGAAGATAATTGTTATTCATTCAAATATCATAATAATTTCATCTGTTGAATTCCCTAATAATAATGTCCTCCAAATATTTACTGCCTTTTAAAATATATATATATATATATATATTTAAAATAACTCGAGTGTTCTTCAATTAAAAGTGGATTATTGGGATAGCTGACCAATACAATGTTATATACAAAAATCAAAAATGTTACTTCTACTTTGTCCTGGCTCTGAGTTCAGTACTTTGATACTCCACCTGAATGGACAACATTAGGAGTTGAGGAAAATGTGGTCAAGAACACGTTTTTAAAAAATTAGTAGACTTTATTATTTATAGCAACTTTAGTTTACAGAAAAATTGATTGGCAAGTACGGAGAGTTCTCACATACTTCCTCTCCGAATCCACGTACAGCTTTTCTTACCGTTACATCTTGTATTGGGTATGGTACACTGGTCACAATTGATGAACTGATAGTGATACCTCATGATAAACTCAAGTCCATAGTTTACATTAGGGTTCACTCTTTGTGTTGTGCAGTTCTATCAATTTTAGCAAATTTTAATGACATGTATCCATCATTACTGTATCAGACAGAATAGTTTTACTGCCCTAAATGTTTCTTGTTCTTCACCTATTTGTCCCTCCTTCACTTCTACTGAACCTCTGGAAGACACTGATGCTTTTACCATTACCACAGTTTTGTCTTTTCCAGAACATAATATGATTAGAACCATACAGTATGTACGTTCTCAGATTGCCTTCTTTCTTTAGCATTATGCTTTTTAAGATTCACCCATATCTTTAGGTAGCCTGATAGTTTATTTCCTGAAATCATTGTATAATATTCCATTGTATGAAAATACCACAGTTTGTTTACTCATTCATCTATTGAAGGACATCTTGGTTGTCTCCAAGTTTTGGCAATTACTAATAAACCTGCCACAAACATTCATGTTTAGGTTTTTGTATAAACATAAGTTTTCTATTCGTTTGAGTAAACACCAAAGAGCATGACTGCTGGAATATACGATATGAATATATTTAGTTTCTAAGAAACTGCCAACATGTCTTCCAAAGTAGCTGCACCATTTTTCATCCTTATCAGCAATGAATCAGAGTTCCTGCTGCTGCACCTTCTTGCCAGCATTTAATGTTGTCACTGTTTTGAACTCCAGCCATTCTACTAAGTGTGCAGTGGTGTCTCATTGTTGTTTAAATGTGAAATTCCCTGATGATATATGGTGGTGTACTTCATCTCACATGCTTATTCGCCATCTGTGTATCTTCCTTGGCAAAGCACATACTTTTAGTGAATGCTTACTGTGTATCAGGCACTGCATTATATGTCAGAATCATTTATCAATCTTTCACATAGGAAAATATATACTTAATTTACTATGTAGTTTTTTAAGTCAATTTACTTTCTGAGACAGTGATAGGTAAGCCAATGGCAAAAGCTATGTTTTCCATGAGGAAATTTACCACAAATCCACAGTTATATGAGTAAAATTCTATAAAATCGCATGGATTTTTTTTCTTCCTAAAACAGCTTTCTCCACTAAAAAAAAAAAAAAAAAAAAGTGCATATGCTAGACATTTGTAAGAAATGTGTCATACTCAATACATGTCTATCATATGACACAACAATTTCACTCTTGGAATATACCCAATAAGAATGTATGTATGTATGTATACATAGATAGATATGTGGTGTACATGTATATGTACACAAAAAGGCATGTAAAATACTCATAACGGCATTAACAATTGCAAAACAACGGAAACAACCAAAGTCTAGTACCAACAGACTAAGTAATTTGTGATGTACTCATTCATATGTTGAAATGCAAAAAGAGAAAAAAGCAACAGCAAATTGAACAAACAGATCATTACTACAAGCAACAACTCGGTTAACTCTCACAATCATAATGTTAAAAAACAGAAGCCAGGCAAAAAGAGCACAAGCTAGTACTTCAATGTATATGAACTTCAAAAAGAGACAAAGTGATGCACAGTGCTGGAAGTCAGGACAGTAGCTCCCTCTGGAACTGGAATACCTTTGGGGTGTGAGACATGTGAGCAGCATGGGACATGGGAGGGACTCGTGAGATTCCATCTCTTATCTCAGGAGCTCTTTATATGGTTATGTTCACTTTATTAAAAATCTTTGAGTTGTATAATTGTGATTTGTGGCATCTTGTAAATACTGTATTTCAATGAAATGTTAACTCCAAAAAAACAGAGATACTATATTAAAATTTTGAACTCTCTTTAGTTCTTTTATCACTTGATAATAAAAATTTATACATTAAATAAAAATATATACCTGGAGGTTATAATTAATACTGAAAAAGAGTAAAATCTTGAGTCTAGCTATTTTTGTATATTCCTATAATTGAAGAAAGTTTGAAATAGAATAAGAAAACATATAAACATGAATATATTCTGCACAGTTTATGTGTATGTATATTTTTCATATCTTAGTTTTCCTTATTGTGCTTCTATTTAATCATACTTTTGAATCCTAATATATCTATGCACACACACACAAACATGCAAATTTGGTTATCACTTTGCAACAAAGTCCCATGAATATTAAGTTGGTGTTATTATGCAATTTTCAGCCTAGGGAGGATATTACAGGTAGGGATCCCTTCAGGATATAGTTGTGTTTTTTCCTTTCTCCCAGATGTGTTCCGAAAATTTAATGACTGGCCATGTTGAAACTAATTGAAGGCTATGAAGTGTGACTGGATTAGAGAGTTTGCAAACAAAGTACATAAAATGTGGTTGCAGAATTCCATAGTGCTGGTCTCATTCATAGAGGACTCAGCCAAAACAGCCTCATATTTTACTATCACTGAAATGTTTCTATATATATATATATAGATAGATATGAAATATATATATGAAATGTATATACATATTTAATTTTCTGCTCCACTGTTTCTTATAGATAATAATGATGTGATGATGATGGTGCTGGTGGTGGTGCTGATGATATCTAAATCTTACTAAACGTGCTGAAATATATATATATATATTTCCATATGTTTTATATATATGTTTCCATATATATATATATATATATATAGAGAGAGAGAGAGAGAGAGAGAGAGAGAGAGAGAGAGAGTGTTGTACGTATTTACAGGATACAACCGATATTTTGATACAAGGGTACAATGTGTAATGATTTGTAATAAATCAAATTGGGGTATCCACTGCCTCAAACATTTGTCATTTGTGCTGGAAACATTCCAAATCTTCTCATTATTTTGAAATATACAATAAATTATTCTTAACTATAATCACTCTGTTATGCTATCAAACACTAATACTTATTCATTCTAACTGTATTTTTGCACATTAATCAACTCCTTTTTATTCCTCCTTCTCACTACCCTGCCCAATCTGCTAAACATCATTCTATTCTCTACTTCCATGAGATCAATTTTTTTTAGCTCCCACATATGAGTGAGAACATGCGATATTTGCCTTTTTGTGTCTGGCTTATTTCACTTAACATAATGTCCTACAGTCTCATTCATATTGCTGTAAATGACAAGATTTCATTCTTTTTTATGGCTGAATGCTATTCCATTTGGTATATATACCACATTTTAAAGATCCATTCATCTGTTCATAGACACTTAGGTTGATTCCATATCTTGGCTATTGTGAATAGCGCGCCATAAACATGGGAGTGCAGATGTTTCTTCAATATGCTGATTTCATTTCTTTTGGATATATACTGAACAGTGGGGTTGTTGGATCCTATGACAGTTCTAATTTTAGGTTTTTGAGGAAATGCCATACTGTTTTCCGTAATGACTCTACTAATTTACATTCCCACCAATAGTGTGCCATCACTAAAATCTGAAGCTAGTCTCCTCTTATGAGTATTTTAAAGAACAATTGTTTAAAGCAATCTAAAGACTCCATTTAACTTACCAATTAATAGGTACCTTCAGGCTGTGTGTGGTGGCTCATGCCTGTAATCCCAGCACTTTGGGAGGCTGAGGCAGATGGATCACGAGGTCAGGAGTTCACCAGCCTGGCCAACATGGTGAAACCCTGTCTCTATTAAAAAATACAAAAAATTAGCCAGGCATGTTGGTAGGTTCCTGTAATCCCAGCCACTTGGGAGGTTGAGGCAGGAGCATCATTTGAACCCAGGAGGCAGAGGTTGCAGTGAGCCGAGATTGTCGTGCCACCACATTCCCGCCTGGGTGACAGAGTGAGGCTCTGTCTCAAAAAAAAAAAAAAAAAAAAAAAAAAAGGGTAGTTTCATTTATAAGTACCACCCACTGCTCTCCATTCAGCTATGTTCACATTCTACTTTAGTTTCTTATATCACTAAGCTAAAACAGATTGTATTCATGTTCTTCTCAAGCCTAGATAGCAGTGTTGAAAGTAAACATTTGATTTCCTAGAGAAAAAAAAAAGCAGAAGGCAGGGAGAAACTTGAGTCAGAAAGTGAAATATTAGACCATCTAGTGAACACTGAAAATTAAGAATTAACTTAAATGAAACTGGAGTATAAAGGTCAATAAAAGTAACAGGAAGAGTAAGAATTTGTAGTTACTGTTAATCTACAGTCCATTGATTATTAAGCTCCCACAAATCACATGACTATTTGAAAATCTTCTAAAAGTGAAATATTCAAATTGCCTTTCTGAGTAAGGATGCTGATCATCTGGGACAGTCTGATCCAATCTTATCAGTTTGGAAATCTGTGGCAAAGATCACTGATGCATCAAATAAGCTTGGGGATTATAATCCAATAAGACATGTCTGTAATACAAAATACTAGGCACAAATATCCTACAACTCTCATTCCAAAAAGTAATCTTTATAATGTTTTATTATTGCATTTAAAAATATGATTAGATAAGATTTAAACTATAATCATATTTAAACATATAAAATATGTTTATCTTATATATGTGGATATATTTAGATCAAAGACATGTGTAATCAAATCACATATATGTCACATATGTGCTTTCCACTTCTAAGAGCTACTTGTTGAACCTACCTAAGATGTAGAAAAATATTTTTTAAAAATTCTTCTTGTGTATCACTTAAATTGCAGGCCAGGCTTTCTAAATTCACTGAATATGCTACTCTGATATGTGGGTCTTTGGGCAATGAATTCACTATTCTCAAGGCTTTTAGAAATGCATGGTTACCCACTAAACCAGCTTCAATAAGAGATTCTCTGGAACTTTATTTATCAGAGAGATATTCTAAGTATTTCTAAAACACATCCAAGCATTCATGCATGTGCATAAGCACACACATATTCTCACTCAATGTGTACATATTTTAAAAAGACACACCAAGTTAGATGTACAGGACACTTGGAACAGACTATTACTTAGATCTTTATAAAGAATATCTTTATCAATATTGAACAATGATAGTCTTGATGTTTATTTAATTTTCTGCTCCACTGTTCCTTATACATAATGATGATGATGGTGATGATGATGATGATGATAATGATGGTGGTGGTGGTGGTGGTGGTGGTGATGATATCTAAATCTTACTAACCATGTGTTGAAATTCTTCTCAGCTTTTTTCCCATGCAATATGTCATTTAATTCTCTCAATAATTCCTAGAGATTTGTATCATTTTCCAGAAGAGAAAATTGCACCTAGCAATATTAAATGCCAACTACATTTACACAGCTAGTAAATATACATAGCTAATAAGACACGTACCCTTTGGTATATGCTGATTATTCAGTAAATATTTGTGAAATAAATGAATAATGAATAAACTCTGATGTAGATAACTGAATAGCAATTTTGCTACACAAAGTTAAACGTACAGCCTTCCCAACTACTCAAGTCACTACCTGAAGTTTTTCCAGAGCAATTCAAGATACTGCAAAATCCATTAAAAATGGTGTGATTTTTGCTTTAGTTTGGTTTTGTTTTATCTCAGTGCCATAGATACACTGACACGCTTTATATTCTACTAGTTCTTCTAGTTGCATGTTTTGCTTAAGCTATATACTTTAAAAATATTTATGAGTACATCAAGAAGTCCAGCTTTAGAAACTTGATTTGAGAAGAACACTCAGGTAGGGCTAAGGTTGTGAACAGGGAATGAGAGTATATGCCTATAAGCACATGAGATAGAGTGCTTATGAATGTTTCAGATGTAACTACCTACCAAAATGTATTGAAAATAGAAAAATATCAGGTTGAGTCTATGGTCTGCTTTATGTAAAACTAAATATGTTAACCAGTTAAATAAATTAGGCTCAACAAAACACCAGTTAATACACTGTAAGAAATAATCTTGTTCTGGCAATGAATAAACTAGATGATATATGAAGTCTGATCTCCTTCACCTCTAATTTCTGATATTTTATGAGTCACTGTCATTTTTTTCTCCAGTTCAAGAAAGAATGAACACAATAACCATTCTCTGTCTTGCTTCAGCCTGTAATGCAAAACAGGTATCACAAAACTTACAGGTATGTAGGGACTTATAGGGAAATACACTCACAGTTTATTGAGGAAAGACTATATTTATTCTCCTTCAGTTTCCTCTTTTTGCATTTCACATTTTTCACAGTCCAAGGAAATGGCAAGAGAATTACACCCAGATTTGTATTTAGAATGTCTGAATCAATTGAAGGCAATTTAAAGTTAGACTGACCAACAACATCACAATGAAGGGAGACAGACTGCTTGCAATCTAACTTCTGCTATTTGGTAATATTACACTACAATGGTATCTCTTACTCTAGAATAATATTTCTCAAACTTTAGCACACATCAGAATTGACCAGAAGGCTTGTAAAAACACAGATCATTGAGCCCCGCTCCCAAAGTTTCTGATTCAGTAGGGCTAGAATGGGGCCCCAGAATTTTCATTTCTGGTAGGTTCCCCTGCGATGCTAATGCTACTGGTTTCAGGACTACACTTTGAGACCTTGGTAACCACTGAGCTAGAAGTAGTTCCTGGATGACAGAAACTATGTCTATATTCTATTGCAAATAAATGATTCTCTACTGAGAGGGGTTTCTTAATGTTGACTTACCAGCAAGATGTATTTCTAAGAATTGTGAGCAGAAAAAAGTCACTATCTTTACTTCAACTCTGAATATTGTAGTATTGATGACAATATGTTAAATAAGTTACCTTCAAATGAAAAATAAGTTACATACTACTATTAGGAAGTGAAAAGTAGGAAGAGCATTTCTACCATGTTGGCATGAGATGAGGTTTGGGAAGGGGAAGTGGGTGGTGGTTTTGTATTTAGCAACCATATGAAAAAATTGTAGAACTAGCTTTTTTTTTTCTGTAATATCTGTGAGGAAAGTAGCTAACTCACTAAACAAACATAAAAAGTGCAAGGAGTTCAAAGATAAATGTAATAGGTAAAAAACAAGTAAGTGAGAATGTTCTAGGAAGAAAAATTATGATAGAAAAAAATATTAAATTAGGTGAAAGTTTCTGCTAGAATATAGAATATGTTGAATTGTTCAACAGAAATTGGTTAACAGAATAAGAAATGGTTTATCAGGGAATCTACTCGTAAGCAGAGAATCTGACGTTCTCACTATGAATATAATTAAATAATTAGGTGCTAAACTGTTAAACTTGACTAGGCGCATATATTTTAGGCTCCAGAATCCCAGACCCCATGTGCTGGATTCTTTAATGAAAAAAGGTAGAAAATAAGATCCTCGTAAATGCATTCAGAAAACAGAAACAAGGGGTCATTAGTTATGAAATTTCATCACACGAATGGTACAGAAATATATTTTATTAAACATGCAAGTGGAGAAGCAGTCTAACTATATAGATTAAAGGGAAAGGATAAGTGTAAAAGCTATCTTCTCAACTGGAAAGGGTCCTATGTCTACTGAGGGAACTAGGAAAGCATGAGTAGGAGCTCTGTGTGAGAAAGATTTGATGAGTTTCCTGATAGATTTTCACCAGTGGATGTAGGTTGCTACAGAATAGGCTCAATAAATATAATTCTTCATATGGGAATATGTCAAAATAAAATAATGCTGCATTTTCTATGAAACTTTCCTCTTGAAAATATTTATTCTGAATTTATCAATATTTTACATATAATTTCTGATTTAAGGAAAATGTAGGAGATAAAGGAACAAATTCAATGGCAATGAGAGGAACCAATCTGAGAAACCTAGAAGGTAAGACATTCTATAAGACTACCAGTTAGGCTTCTTCAAAAAAGTCATGAAAAGCAGGTATTGTTTTAAATTTAAAGCAACTTAGGAGCAATAAAAAATGAATATAACATAGTGTCCTTAACTGGGTTCTATTTTGAACAAACCAATGTTTTGATCCAATCAAGAGGTTGAATATGGAATAGATGTTAGATGATAATAGAGAATTATTGTTAGATGTGATCAAGGTGTTGGGTGGTATTTAACATAATGTCTTTATTTATATTAGTGATTCCAGTACTGAAGTAAATATTGTGAATGCCATTAGTTTTATAATTTACTATAAAATTACTTTAGCAAAAAATAGATGAAGCAAAGTTTCCAAATGTTAACAATTGTTAAATCTAATGAGTACATTGGTGTTTTATGTATATATATATATTTTTGAATGTTTACAAATTTTATAATAAAAAGTAAAGCTACAGAAGAAAAACAGAATTATTGCCTAATGTATGGAGCAATAAATACTGTTTAAAAATCATATTACTTGATACATTTTGTTTTTAATGATACATTGTTAGATATTGTTTGCATTTATTTTGTGCAGTCACTACCCCCTCCCTCAATAGTTTTATAATAAAAAACATAAAAGGAGGGAAAGAAGGAAGGCAGGCAGGCAGACAGGATTATATTAGATCACATGCAGGTAAAGTTTTTCATAGTTAAAACTGGGCTTTCCTTGACAGACTATAGGAAAATGTACATATTTGCTCCAAACATCAGAAAACTTGTGGAAGCCAAGCATTTCCTGAGCACAATCTAAGATTTCAGAGACTTCCTAGTAATACATAATTACTACACTAAGAAATTCATCACGGCATTTCTTTTGATACATTTCATGGAATACTATATTGTGGCTGTTGATGTTGTTGCTGCTGATTACTAATTATTGCTTTTTAAAATTTTTGTTGGTCAAAAAATGTGAAGAAATGATTGTTTAAACAAATTTAAATAGGCAAATTTAACTGTGGAACTTTTCAAACCCTTTAGTATGCTATAGGATAAAGTGCTTTCCAAATTCTTCTCAGAATAAAATTTTCGATATAATAACATCTTGAGAAAGTTGTGTTCTGTATAACATTTTGAGAAAACCAGCTTCAGATTACTGTTCCAGTCCAGGAAGCATAAAATGAAAACTATCTTAGTCTTGACCCTCTATAAAGTAAACCCCTGAGAAAAAGGGTTGCTTCTTGGTTACTTCATCGTGAGAAGTGATCAAAAGGAATACAAATTAAAAAGTAGCTATTGTGAAAATGATAGGAAGGAAAAAAACAGGATCCAAATATTCACTGAGTAGATCTCTGCCATGGGCAACTGGAAACTGATGGTTCTTGCAATCCTTTAAGAAACCATGCAGTAAGTCTTTCCAAATTGTCCACAGGAGAGACTTAAGTGGGAAGAATTTATCCACCTGATCCTGCAGTCCTCAACTAATTAAGAGTTGCCCCCAAGTTAACTTGCACATATTTGGAAGTTCATACCTATATGTAAACAGCTTTGTGGATTCCTGCAGGTATTATGCATCACACAGTTTTGGCAAGACAATGGCTTAGAAGATGTGGGACAGAGCTCAAAACAGATCCCAGTTAAGCACTGAGTAGGCACTGACACTGGACCGGGGCTGGAGACTTGAGCTCAATGGAACACCAGAGAAGAGCCTATAAAGGGAAAATAGTTTCTAACTTCTCTTTCCAATTGTGTCCAAGACATGAATGTGAAGAAAGGGGATAGGAGGGGAACACAGAGAAAATACATCAAGTAAACCATTAATAGTTTTTTTTTTTTTTAAGTATCCTTGGAGACAGGTGAATAAACAGGACCAAGTGAGCTGAACCTATGAAATCTTGCTGGAATGAAAAATAAGCCAGTCCTCTCTCATGGCATTCTCTTCTCTTCTTGCGCTTGTGGGGATATGTGTATTGTTCCTCAGCCTTCTGATAAAGCACCACCATTCTAATTCTCCTACTCCTACAGCACAAAGGCAGCAAGGCTTTTATAAAACTAAACAATCCTAGCTGACAATTAGGTGAATGGTGCTCACAGAGTTGATAGCAGCAGTGCTTCTAGATTCACTGACACAGTATATTTCCTTTGTGCATTGTCATCAGAAGAGCCTGTCATCTCAGTCCCTCTAATGATCTCTTTCATCATTTTGTCATCTTCTTATTGGTGTCCAAGATTTTAGATCCATTATCCAGTCATCTTGCTTCCTACTATCAGGCTACAGGCTCCTGCTAATCCTGTCATCTTGTTCACCCTTCATCTTCATGGTTTGCACTATTATTAAGCATTTGCCCTTGGGGCCACATGTCCAGGGGTCTTGTCTCTGTTATAGGATAGTGAATCATCTCGAACCAGGGATAAGACTACTCTAAATTGTGCTTATGCCATTTTAATCTCTGATTGTGAAAGCTTCTGGTTACACACTGGATAGATAACAACCAGGTAGTCATTCTGGTAGTCTCAGCCTAAATAAATTCTCAAGAGAAACACATTAAAGTGTTTTATATTCTCATTAGCTTTCTCAGAAAAATTTTCTGACTGATAGGAGACAAACGGACTCATCTTGGTCGCTTTTCTTCCGTCCTTCACCTTCAAACCTTCACTTCAAGGTCAAAAAGTATTTCCATCATTTGGAAAAATAGAACAGAATGTAGGAATATAAACTCCAAATTAGTTGCTGATGAAAGCGTATTTTCTCCCTATATGCATTTTACTCTGCAAGTTTAAAGTCTGAATTTGTAAATTGAGTTCATTCAAGCTTAAACCAGATTTGAGCTTGAAAATCTCATAGCATTTGGTTTTGCTTATAAATGGTGCCTGACACTTCTCAAATTCAATTAGCTTCAATTCTTACAAAGTCATATTATAAGCAAAACTCGGATCTATAAGCCCATTTCAAAATTGTGCAAATATAGTTTAGTGTGTGAAATTTTATTTTTCCTTTTTTAAATTGTCACTGAATTTCATGGAATAGATTAGTTCATGTCTTATCATGAATATTGCATTACTGAAAATTTGAGAGACTGAAGGGTTTTGTTTGATCCTTTTTAGTTTTTGCACTCTTTAATGACTTCATTTCAATGCTGAAATCAGGGAAAATATGATTAAGGTTTTTGTTGTTTTTTTGTTGGTTTTGTCTTATGTAAGCTAGAAATGCCTTAGTAAGTAGGCCTGTGTCTGGCAAAACAAAAGTCTGTGGAGACATTTTCTCATTTACCTTTTTTCACTTAGTTTCACAACAGGTGTTTAGAATAAATATGGTAAGCAAACATATAACATATAAACTAACAGCCAGGATTAGAGCTATCCATTCTTTGTGAATTATTATCTTTAAATGTCTTTTTCCTAAAACAAACGTGGTACTTGTGCAACAGCTGTCTGTAAGAAAAATAAAGAGGAAAGCAAAAAGAGGAACTAAGTAGCAAAATATTCTATTTGGAGTAATGGGCAAAGAAACAAGAAACAAGAGAACTTACTGATGTTCTCTTTATCAATGGTAAAGGAGAAAAGAAACACAGCTATGGTCCAGAGAGAAAGCAGAAGGGATTTTATAGCCAACAAAATCACAAGGTATCTTTTGGTTTTTCACAGCAGCCTTTCAATACTCCTTTCTGTCTATGTCCATGCCATCCATCAGTTCTTAAAGCATTCAGCTCATTTGGTGACAAGGAATGAGAAAAAACTCAAACATAAATTTTGTTTCATATGTGGACAAAATATTCAGTTTGTGGGCAAAGTCCGAGTGAGTCTAGCCATGGTATGGATATTTGGAACAGAGGTTGCTCTCCTAACTTTGGTTCTTCTGTGGATGGTATTTTTAAAAGTTAATTCACTTCCCTGGGCCTAAGTTTCCTCATTTGTGAAAGTAAGGCTTGCCTGATTATCAGTGAATCAGAAACATGCACACACCATACTCGTACATGTATATTATAAACCCAGCTATGGATAAAATGTCATAGTCTCATTTTTAATATTGCAATATCTCATAAACCAGGATTCTATCATTGCAGAGCCCATAGACTTATCATGTAAGAGCAATATAGTGTCCCTATCTAAGGACGAGAACAAAAACACAAGTCAAAAAGAGAAGTTTATACTGATTATATGGGCAACAAGAAGTGAGGAAAAATAAAATCTGAATTCCAGAGACAGGAATTCTCCCCTGAGCACCCTTCCCTAGTTTTAGATGATGTCTCAGATACTGACCCCAGGAACCAATAGAGGAAACTTGTGCAGTCAAATAGTTCAGTCTGAAAAGAAAAGGTCTTGAGAATGATAATCATGTACCAAGGAAGAATACATTACTGTTTTTGGAAAAGAGTAAAGTCGATTTACCCTTGTGTATGTGTGTGTGTGGTACCCTGGAAGAAAAACGGTAGCTGAGGGGATTCTGATCAATAGAGGATTCTTTCTTTAGATGACAGAAATAATAGCATTTTTTTTTTGCTAAGCTGGTAGGCATGATCTGGTAGAGAGGAAGAAAAAAATGATTCAGGAAAGAAGGATTTGTGGAGTGAAAAAGGTAACAAACGGTGTATCTAGTGTGCAAGTGGGGGGGGTTTCCTCAGACAGGAACACAGAAAATTAATCCAAACAAACAGAGGAAAGGAAAAACATACAGATGGAGTTGAGTGGGGATGATGAAGTAGTTGATACTTGTGGAAAGACTAGGATTCTTATTTTTCCAGGTTTCTTCTCATAAAAGGAGCTAAGCTATGTGATGAGAGTGAGGAAAGCATTAAGAGTACCTGAGAACACAAAACATCAGTATGAAAACATCATCTAGGAGAGTGGAGGAGATTGACTAGGGATATTTAGGAAGGTTGCTACACAGTAATAAAGACCCACTTAAGATTAATAACCATGAATTTGAAATGAGACGATACCAGCACTGTTTTGTGGGTTTTATTTTTCCAGCTTGTTGCAGTTGCGTGGAACCAAAATTGGATGCTTCCTAGACAAATACAATGAAAGGAATATGGGTAAGAAATTTGACTTTTATATAAGAAACTAATTATAATGAAGAGTTATAGAATTTAAAGAGTTTAAGGAAAGAACTCAATGTATAGACTGCACTAATATTTCTTGGTGTCAAGGAGTCGATAAAGTAGGCCAAAAAAAAGATGAACTGAAAAACTCATATGTAATTGGCAGCAAGTGGGGGTGCTTAAAATTGAGACTATCAAACCTGCAGTTACAGGTTATATAATTGTATAGATCATGACCAAGAGAAAGGAGTATAATTAGGAGGATCCCAGTGACTAAAAATCTTCAAGGTTTAAGTAGAAGTGATGTGTGTGATGGAAGGGTATTGCTGGAACATATTGTCTGGTAATACCGAACATGAGAAGCTGAAGATGTTTTAGAAGGAGTAAAGATAGTCTGGAAAAGGTAATGAGCAAGGAGAATACCTCTTCTACTTCAGGCTCCAGACTATGAGAAATATGAAAGAACAAAAGAAGCACCTTTTAAGGAGGCTTCAAGGGAAAGGGTTAATTCAGAGAAGTTGGGTTTTCATTAGAGCAAGAGGAGAAGGAAACATTGAGGTTATAGAGTTTACTGAAAACTGATGTTGGCTTTTGGAGAGTACAGCAGAAAGGTTGAAAGAGTTAGGGAAAAGAAGAAAATAAGAGTCAGGAAAAAAAAAAAACTATATTTGGTGCCTTATGTAGATTAGAATCCAGAGTATAATGGAATACCCGGAAGCCTTGAGCTTCTTGTGACCAATGACCTTATATCTGAAGACATAATTAGTGGTTAGTTGTAATGACCTCAAAGCAGATAGTTGTCTTGCGACCTGAGAGTTAGGGATGGTATGTACGAGAATAAGTGCTTTTAATCAGTTTTATATCATGAAGTACTTTTCATTAAATATGCTATGACATCATTGTAATGGATGAATAGTTGAGTGTACTCATGACATCATTGTAATGAATAAATAGGATGAATTCCATAGTATACATACAAAGTAATTTCATTAGTTAATTCAGAAAGAATTTATTAAGTGCCTAACAGGTGCCGGTCATTAAGTTAAGTGCTAGGCATACAGCAAAGGTCAGACACATCAGATATGATCTCTGTCTCCATTGAACTTAAAAATACAGCAGAGGAGAAAGATATTGAACATGGAATGAGAGAGGAGAGAGCATTCCTAAATTACTGTGGATACCTAAGACTGGTGGGCATGGGCTAGAGGGTGGTGAGAGATGAAGAATCAAGAAGAGTTTACTAGGTGAAGAGATAACATCACATTGATCGAGAAAATAAACAGCACATTAGGGGAAAAACCTTTAGGACAGAAAAGTTGAGAGCACAGTGGACAGTGACATAAAGCAGAAGCAGTTACAGGAACAGAGCCCACCGCTTGGTCAAGAGGCGTTTGGGTTTATTTCCCAGCTCTTAAGACACGTTAGTAGTTGTCACATTTTTCTCATATTTAACATGGTTGTTATTTATGACAATGACTATCCCTTAGGAAAAACTTTGCCCCAGATATATGATTTCTTTATTTTCCTTGGTATTGGTAAGAAAAGTACATATAAACCTTTTAACCGAATTTTAAAAGTTGCCAAAGTATACTTTTTTCAATAATTAATTCCCCTCGCTTTCCCCAAGAGTTAATCAGTCTTTTGTTCCCTGATAGATGAAATCTGACATCCCATTGTATTTCCTTAACTCTTTGTGAGATTGAGCATTTTGTTTTCACTTAAATTAGTCAACTATATTTTCTCTGTACTTAACTGCTTATTGCCTGTCTTTTGACCATTTTCCTGTTAAAAATTTTAAAAATCAGTAATTGATTTTGAGAATTTTTCCTTATTAGTAGTATTGGTTCTTTATATTTTGCTAATTTTTCCTGGTTGGTCTTTTTCTTAACTTTTATACTGTGTTTTTTTAAAATACAGAATTGTGTTCATGTTTTACATTTTAGATTTTATGGTCAAAGTTTTCTGACAGTCTTAATGACATATTTTATATTTTATATCATAGTTAGGAAAGTTTTTCCCCTTGTAAGATATTTTTAGTATATTTGTGAGCTGTTGGTTTTTGTTTTATATTCTTTTATTTTTCATTGACAATTTATCCATCTGTAATTGGTGAATGGAGTTTCAGCAAGAAATAGCCAAAGATGTCCCCAGGATTTTGAACACAGGTGATTACAAGGACAAAGATACCATCACCAAATAGAAAACATGTGGAAGGAAGTGCCAAGGAGTAAGCCAGGGTAGAAAAAACTTTGTTTTGGGGGCTGGAAAGTTAAACTCAACTTACACCTCCAAAAAACAAGTAAAATTATAATTGCTTTATAGGATTTTTGTGACTACGTTTGTAAAGTACAAAAAATGTTAACTATTTTCATTATTAATTTAGCAGAACAAAATATCTGTCTCTGAGATACTAGCAAAAATTATCCATTAATATCATAATTTTATTATTTTGTATATTGTTGCCATTTGACCTATTAACAAAGTTATGACTAGCCGGCTACAATGGCTTATGCCTATAATCCCAGCTAGCTGGGAGGTTGAGGTGAGAAGACAGCTCAAAGTTACAAGTTTGAGACCAGTCTCGGTAACAGAGTGAGACCGCTGCTCTAAAAATAAAATAAGAAAATTTTCAAAAGTTCATGAGAAAAATATATGGCTTTGTTTACATAAGAACTTGATAGATAAAATTAATTAGAAGTCAAAATGCTCTCCCCAAAAATACCCACAGAAAGGAGTTCAGCTAAGATATCAGTTGCATAAACTCACAGCATAAGTAGCTTCTAGGATAAGGTAAGAAGACCACTGGTATGAGTCTGTAAATTATAAAGAAACAAATTTCTCCCCTGCCCTCTATTAAAAGTATGCTTGAGATATGTCCCAGAAAATGTCTGTGATACATCATAGCTGGTTGTAATGTAAGCTATATTTAAGGTAATCGGTTCTGAAAGGAGATAAAATAGAAATTCATAAAGCCTTTCACAAAAAATATCAAGTTGGTAATTGTAGTTATTAATTCATATCCAGATTTTCTGTGTGGACTTTTGTAGATCTATTCTATTTCCATATTTGAAAGTACAATAGCCCTCATTTTCATATCATAATGTTCATTTCCATATTGTTCCATGTTCACTGAGAGTCAGGAAGTAAATATATTTGGATAAGATATGGGATAATGTGCATCCAAATAATAATGGAAAGCCAATATCTCAACACCATGATCAATAAAAATTGAAACTGATGGGAAAAACTGCTGTGCTTGATTAAATATTGACATAAATATTTTAGTAATGGAAACTTTGAAATGTCCTTTCTCTCCTTGAATTCATTAAGCCCCCAGAGAAGCTTTACAGACTCATTATCTTACTTCATGTTGGGCTTTTCGTCTATGAACCTCAAAGAGTAAAAAAATGAAATTTAATGACTTTTGAGGTCACGGTGCTTTTTACGCCTACAGTGTTATACAAAAGACTTACCTCATCAAGTTGACTTTTACCTGCAATTTGTTTCCTGAACTTGCAAATTTTAAGACCTACAGAGCTCTTTATTGAAATAAGGTACACATACAAAAAGTGCACAAATCGTAGAGACAGCTCAGTATCATCACAAATTGAACACACTTGTGAAAGTTCACCCACTCAAAGAACTAAAACATTACCAACACCTCAGAACTTCACTTTCTTTAAACATGAAAAGAACCCTGCCTCTCTCTCTCTTTTCTTCCCACCCATCCTTTCTTCTTTCAATTATTTTTAGTCTAAACTAAACCACAATCTTCATATTCATTAAATCTGCTTCAATCAGGCCATACATGCATAAACCTCCGAGAAAAGCATCCTGATATTTTGAGTTAGGGGAACATAATTATTTACATTTTCTATAAAATCCTATCTCCTATTGGGCTACTGAATTGATTTTTTAGGAGGTATAAAATTCTTCATCAATGGATGTGTTTAAATAGATATATTTCTAATCATTAGGCAGTTTGTCCTTGAGCTTATGTCTCTATAATTTTCAATAAACAATCCTAATATTATATTATGTAACACAGAAAAATTTAATTCGCATTTCAACATATCTTTAAACATTTGTGTTGGGTTTCAATTTCAAAATCATAACTCTTAGATGAGGGTCAGTCCTTGAGTTGTTTGACAGATTCAGGGTAGACGTTAAGCCTGCGGGGCTACTTCACTTATCTTCTCAAATATCCTACTGCATAAATACTTATTCTTAAACTTACATGTGAATATACTTTATATCAGGAGTCCCCAGCCCCCAGACAAGGGACCAGCACTTGTCCATAGCCTGTTAGGAACCTGGCCACACAGCAGTAGGTTAGCGGCAGGAGAATATTACGGATTGAGCTCTACCTAGGTCAGATCAGCAGGGGCAGTATGTTCTCATAGGAGCACAAACCCTATTGTGAACTGCGCATGCAAGGGATCTAGATGGCACACTCCTTATGAGAATCTAATGCCTCATGATCTGAGGTGGAATAGTTTCATCCCGAAATTACCTCCCTGACCCCATCTGTAGAAAAATTGTCTTGCATGAAATGGGTCCCTGGTTCAATGAAATGGGTCCCTGTCTTCCATGAAATGGGTCCCTGCCAAAAGTTTGAGGAGTGCTGCTTTATATTACATATTAATTTTTATCTAAGTCCCCAATTAGTAACAACTTCAGTTAACGCTCATCTGTCTTCAACATAGGCAGTTAGATAAATAACTGTATTTGGTTTACATAAATAAGCCTTTTAAGAAATTTCTGATTGCAAAAAGTTATAGATGAAACTAAAGTTATGCTCTTTATTCTCTTTTGCTGACAATCGGTTCTCACTTTCCTGAAGTTGTTTTATATAGCTTCCATATTTGTTTTTATAATTTATCAATAAATGTTTATACTAATAAGATATTAATAATTATGTATACCTTTTTGAAACTTGAGTTAATTTAATATAAAGTTTTGGCAGTTATTTATGTGTAACTTATTCATTTTAATGTCTCTAGTAACATTTCATCATGCTACTAAACCACAATTTTTTCATTTCCCTTCTGTTGGAAAGTTAAATTATTTTTATTCCTTTGTTAATATAACAGTGCTAGGTTGAACATCTTTATGCCTATTTTCTTGAACACATGAAAGTTTATGAAGGATAGACTTCAGAAGTGCTATCTAACTTTACTCAGAATTTTAAATAATTCTTCGAAAAGGTTATATTAATTTCACTCGAAATAACAATGTCCATAGTGCTTGGAAAACTGGCTAGCCATATGTAGAAAGCTGAAACTGTATCCCTTCCTTACACCTTATACAAAAATTAATTCAAGATGGATTAAAGACTTAAACGTTAGACCTAAAACCATAAAAACCCTAGAAGAAAACCTAGGCATTACCATTCAGGACATAGGCATGGGCAAGGACTTCATGCCTAAAACACCAAAAGCAATGGCAACAGAAGCCAAAATTGACAAATGGGATCTAATTAAACTAAAGAGCTTCTGCACAGCATAAGAAACTACCATCAGAGTGAACAGGCAACCTACAAAATGGGAGAAAATGTTCGCAGCCTGCTTATCTGACAAAGGGCTAATATCCAGAATCTACAATGAACTCAAACAAATTGACAAGAAAAAAACAAACAACCCCATCAAAAAGTGGGTGAAGGATATGAACAGACACTTCTCAAAAGAAGACATTTATGCAGCCAACAGACACATGAAAAAATGCTCACCATCACTGGCCATCAGAGAAATGCAAATCAAAACCACAATGAGATACCATCTCACACCACTTAGAATGGCAATCATTAAAAAGTCAGGAAACAACAGGTGCTGGAGAGGATGTGGAGAAATAGGAACACTTTTACACTGTTGGTGGGACTGTAAACTAGTTCAACCATTGTGGAAGTCAGTGTGGCGATTCCTCAGGGATCTAGAACTAGAAATACCATTTGACCCAGCCATCCCATTACTGGGTATATACCCAAAGGACTATAAATCATGCTGGTATAAACACACATGCACACGTATGTTTATTGCGGCACTATTCACAATAGCAAAGACTTGGAACCAACCCAAATGTCCATCAATGATAGACTGGATTAAGAAAATGTGGCATATACACCATGGAATACTATGCAGCCATAAAAAATGATGAGTTCATGTCCTTTGTAGGGACATGGATGAAATTGGAAATCATCATTCTCAGTAAACTATCGCAAGGACAAAAAACCAAACACCGCATGTTCTCACTCATAGGTGGGAATTGAACAATGAGAACACATGGACACAGGAAGGGGAACATCACACTCTGGAGACTGTTGTGGGGTGGGGGGTGGGGGGAGGGATAGCATTAGGAGATATACCTGATGCTAGTTAATGGGTGCAGCACACCAGCATGGCACATGTATACATATGTAACTAACCTGCACATTGTGCACATGTACCCTAAAACTTAAAGTATAATAATAATAGAAAAAGGAAAAAAAAGACAAAAATACTATAATTAAAAAAAAAAAAGAGTTCTCATTTCTCAAAGCCTTAATGATATTTGGCATTTTAAGTGTCTTAACTGTTACAAAACTGATGACTGAAAAACTATTATTTCACAGCTAAAGGTAGTCATATCATTATTGTACTGCAAAAAAAAGTTAATTTCCTTAAAATACTTTTAATTGAGCCTACCAGTCCTCTATTTCAAAGACAAAATTGCAAATATTACAAAAAAAAACTTTGTATTTTGGCCCCTATCTAAATATTTTTAAAATTTTCTATCTTTCACCTCCCTCTTCTTCATACTTTGTCAAAGGTATCCAACACTTATCTAATTAGTTCATCTATGTTCTACATCCCAATTATTTTCTTCTTTTTCCTCAAGAACTTCAAATTACCTCTTAAGAATTTCGATGATACTCTCTCTCTACTGTATTTTTTCCCTTCCCCTCTTTCAACGGTCTTTCCATTGACAATTTAACTAGACTCAAATCTTCTCTTTATTATTACCCCATGTTTTCCACCATTGCCCTAACACTCTCTACCTTCACTGCTTCATTTAAAAAGTAGATAACTCTAATACTCATCGACTGGTCAGACCACTTACCACAGAGAGGTGACGCCTACCGTTGGACTTCGGTGTAAATGTGATACATTTCAACCCCCATCCCACCCACCAAAGAGTTTGTAGCATTTGACACTATTGTCTTATCATTCTTTTAAATAAGCTCTCACTTATTGATTGCTGTAACAAGTTTCAGTGTCTAATATAGAAAGTAATTTTTTAAAACCATGTATAATACCACTAGACAGGGATAACTACACTTAATGTTCTGTTTTTTTTTTTTTTGCTTTCCATTATATTATAATTATCCACAGTTATACAGATTTATACTGCCTTTTCACTCAATATTTTGAATATTAAATAGACTTTGAAATTTCATTTTAAAAGGTAATGTTATTTAATTTTATATAAGCACATAAGTAAATTGAAAAATTGTATTATTATAAACAAAACTGTAGTTAATATACACATAAATCAATTATTGTAAATATCTCTCATTTTAAACTCATGAGGTAAAGAATAAAAGATTTTCTAAATCATTGTTAAACACTGAATTTTATGTTACTATACAAAATCTAGAAAATATAAAAAGGTACAAGTAAATTTTTGCCTAATTAAAATTATTTTTCAATGCACATGATTTCTAAAAATAACAATACCATACACACTGATTTTTTAGTCAAATATTGTACACAAGGAATAGGAAAATATTGATAATTTCATATTAAGTATCTTGCAAATATAATATTTTTTTACTTGGCAAATGCTATTCTCTCATATATACACAATCAATCTAGCCTTGCTCCAATCACAGACTGTTTTAACTAGTATGTTTTAAACTTTGGTATTGTATTTCCCACTAAGAGCCCTTCTTTTTTCAAAATAATATTTATTCTACCAGATGAACTATGTAAACATAAAGCAATATGGACAAGCATTTATTCTTTTGTTTTTAATTAACTTGCCCACATGATTTCAAATTTCATTAGAATTTATATTATAGTATTTCAATACTGAGTCATCAACTATAATTTTCTTATTTTCTACTATTTATTCTAAGTAAATTTTCAGTTTTTCATATTTGTTTCCACACCTTTTTCTTTCTGAAAAATGTGGATCATTTAGTTTTGTGATTTCTGACTGGTTATTATTTTAACCAAGTCTTTGAAATGTCTGGTTTTTTTTTTTTTTTTTGTCTCTACTATACTAGACAATTACATAGTTCTTAAGTGGTCAACTCTCAAATTATATTTAAATATTATTTGAAATAATGTATTTTCCTCATTTTCTCCAACTTTTATACCTCTGTTTCCTTTTCCTGGTGTATTGCTTTATGTATATCTTCTAAAACAATCTTTTAATAACATTGATAGCTGATATACTTGGCTTATCACTGATATTAATGAAAGTATTGAGCTTTTGGTCAGCGTATATTATGGCGACAGCTATTTTGATATAAATATCATTTATTATATTTACTCATTTGTAATATATTAGGAGTTAGAAATAGTTCATGTCCTTTAAGTATTTTTTAATATAACACTATAGCAATATAATTAATAACGATTTATATTAAAACATTCTTAAACCAATTTTGGATTAGTAAATGCAAACTTACATTCTGCAATTCAGATACAGAAAGAGAGCAGTAGATTCCAAGATAGTCATCTATCAATCATCCCTCCAAAACCAACACACAACAAGAACAATGACAAACTACAAAAACCATGCCTTCATCATAACTTAAAGATAGAGAATGCCTAACTTTAAAAATAAATATCATCCAGAAAGAGAAAAATCATTACATATCAGAGCGTGATCTCACATGTTCTGACTCTACCTCTTGCCAGCCACATGACTTTGTAGGAAACAAAAGCTGATTTTCCAGGATTAAATGGATAAATTCCTAACCAGGTTAACCAGGGAAGAGAGAAGATACATATTAATAATATCAGGATACACTGGGCACAGTGCTCACGCCTGTAATCTCAGCACTTTGGGAGGCCCGGGTAACTTCGCAAAATCCTGTCACTAAAAAAATATAAAAATTAGCTTAGCATAGTGGCACGCACTTGTAGTCCCAGCTGCTTAGGAGGCTGAAGTGGAAGGATCACTTGAGCCTCAGCAGTCAAGTCTATACTAAGCTGTGATCACACCACTGCACTCCAGCCTGGGTGACAGAATGAGACCCTGTAAAATACTACTACTATTACAACTACTACTGCTAGTAATAATAATAATAATAATAATAAATAGTAATAATAATAATAATAATATCAGGATTGAGAGAGGAGACATTATAACAGATTCTAGTGAGAGTCCTCACTGTGACAAAAGGAAGGAAAGCATGAATAGTGGAAAGGTAAGGGAAAAGTCTGTGTGGTTGAACTGAAAGTGGAGGTATTTATAAGAAGCTATAATTAAATTTCTTAGCCCTGTGTCTCTTGAAGCAGCCTAGAAAAAATGATACCCCAGTATCAGTGAGCCCACCTAATACCCACACTTTGGTTTTTAAATAAACATCTCAAAGGTTCCTGCAGAGTTTTACAATTACTTACAAACAGGTGGCATAATAAAAGAATAACATAATTTAGACAAGAATGACTAATAGAAAACAATGTATGAACAAGTTTCTTAAGCCCAGAAATCAATTTTTATAGTTTCTAGGATTTTATTTTCAGTACTTCATAGTAGAGTCCCAGTAATAACAATTAGCCAACTGACTTAGAGAAAATAAAAAGTTACAAAAATATTCATTCATCTCTCATGATCAAATTTCAAAAGTTCTGAAATGGGAGTTCAAATCTAGTTCTAATCCAGTAACAGCATGCTTGTTCAGACAGACTATAGTGTTACTAAAACTCTGCATAGGATCATCACATTCTCTTTTTTAAAATAAATATTCATCTTACTCATTTAATCTGTTCATGGTGATAAACTTATTTGTATGTGTTTGCCCTTGAATTTACCACTAGTATCTATTTTAATTTGTCTGCTGCCAGGAGGCAAGAACTATGTTGTTAAATTGATCCGTATACTACTCAGCACAACAGATAATTTAATGAATTTTTCCTTAATGATAATGATGGTTTAAAAACACCACTAAATTGGAAGTTTACAGATTTGCTTCCTCTTACTTCTGACGGTCATTGCATTGATTGTGATGAACAGATGGTGTGGAGAATTGTAAGCTATTTCACACAGAGATGATACTCTTTCTCAGCTTACCTCAGTCTCAAGTATCACTTAACCTTATGTTTCCTCCTAATGATACATATCGCCAAGCATTTCATTAGCTGAATTCTACTAGCTTTAAAATAATCTCACCAACAAAATACGTGATCAAAAACAAAATGTTAAAAGCATAACTGTCATAAATTCATAGCAAGCATGTCAAGGTTTTAAGTCATCAATAGTAAGCCAACAGAATTGCAAAAAAAAAAATAGTTCAAGAGAGAATATTAAAAAAACCACAGTGGCATATTAAAATAACAGTTTGTGGAAAAGGGTAGCTTTGTTAGTTTTTTAAAAAATGATTAAGAATATCATAAACACATGAATTATCTTCTTTACAAGGCAGAAATCAATTGCATCCTATCAGACAAAAATAACTTGCATATTATCAATTTGCTTCACGTTTTCTTGTAACTTTACAGAATCCAGCTCCTGGGTAAAATTAAACAGTAAGTTATAGAAGTTTTATTCCCTTAGAAAGCCTGGTGACCTAGTGTGATTGTGCTCTAACATGGCATTGAAAGTTCATGCAGCCCTTTCATGCCTTATTTCCAGGTTTAGGTTTTTATAAAAAATATAAATATGGGCTGGGCGTGGTGGCTTATGCCTGTAATCCCAGCACTTTGGGAGGCTGAGGCCGGCGGATCACGAGGTCAAGAGATAGAGACCATCCTGGCTAACGGGTTGAAACCCCGTCTCTACTAAAAATGCAAAAAATTACCCGGGCTTGGTGGCCCACACCTGTAGTCCCAGCTACTAGGGAGGCTGAGGCAGGAGAATCGCTTGAACCCGGGAGGCGGAGGTTGCAGTGAGCTGTGCTCACGCCACTGTACACCAGCCTGGGTGACAGAGAGAGACTCTATCTCAAATCTATCTATCTATCTATCTATCTATCTATCTATCTATCTATCTATCTATCCATCCATCCATCCACACACACACACACACACTTTAATATGAAATTTGACAAACAAATGACTTATATAATACACAACAAACTCCTCTCTAAGATCTTATAAGGCAGATTATAGGAAGTAAATAGTAGCTTTTTTTTCTTTTTCTTATTCTTTTTTTTTTTTTTTTGAGACGGAATCTTGCTCTGTGCCCCAGGCTGGAGTGCAGTGGCGCGATCTCAGGTCACTGCAAGCTCCGCCTCCTGGGTTCATGCCATTCTCCTGCCTCAGCCTCCCGAGTAGCTGGGACTACAGGCATCTACCACCACTCCCGGCTAATTTTTTTTGTATTTTTAGCAGAGACGGGGTTTCATCGTGTTAGCCAGGATGGTCTGGATCTCCTGACCTCGTGATCCACCCGGCTCGGCCTCCCAAAGTGCTGGGATTACAGGCGTGAGCCACCGCGCCCGGCCATAGTAGCTTAATTTTTAAAATTATGTTTTTAACCTTTATACAAATAACACACCCAGGTAAATAGGCATGATTTCATGGTTAAAAATATATGTATATAATACAAATACACACACATATAAGTGCACATGTGCACACACACACACACACACACACACACAAAAGCTAATGCCTGTTGATATGAATCTAACCTTACATTTATCTGGGACAATATGTAGGCTTTATCAAGGTAAAAAGGTAAAACAGTGAAAATAAAGGTGAGAGTAATTTCTGATGTTACTAATGTTTATTTGACAATGCTTACGATGTATATGAAAATACCATGAGGTGGTTCTCAATTTCTTATCCTCAGGAAATATTGAAAAGTTAAGATTTATACTTGGTTCACACTTTTAGAAAATACCTCTACCCACTGTACATTTGTATTTTGAATGCTCTGTAGCTTAATTACTTAGTCTACAATTATTTTTATTCTTAAAAACTACTCAAATTGCTTTTGATGTTTCTGAAATATTATAGCCACCCTAGTTTTCACATATCATTTGTAGCTATGCTGTTTTCCTGACCACATCTGAATGTGCATGTTTTTCCTAAATGATGTAAATTCAATTGTTATGATAGCAGCTTCATTTATGGGTCAGTGGTATGATTTGGTTCATTTATTTCCTTGATAGCTTAGATTCATGTTTGCATTTATTTGAAAAGAGAACACATGATTGCAAAAGTGTTACAAGGAGAAATATGTTAAATGTTAGGTTTAAAATACTACTCTTGAAAGAGTTCCTTTAAATTACTGTCACAATAAATTGCGACTTTCTAAAACTAATCAGAGATAAACAGTGCAGCTATTGTACAATTTCAAGTTTCAGACATTTGAAATATCTTGCTTTTCTGTTTAGTCAGGTGACAGGAAAATATATTAACATCCATGAGATATATTCATAAATGAATAAGGAATATATTTACAACCTCAAATTGTTTTTCACTAGCTTTCAGAAACCTAAGAAACTTTACATTATGATATTTATCTGTTAGGCTAACATTTGGGTAATAAGACTTCTGTCCTAGTTGTTAGCTAAGCACCATTTAATTCTTCTTTGGTGACCTAACAAAATTATTCAAGAGAAAATATCCTTAAATGAACATGTTGTATAGAATCAAGTCAGGCATCTTTTTTAACACAACGGTATTAATGTGCCAAGTGTTTGTAATCATATCCACTCCATTTTCAGCAGTGGAGCTACTATTGACCAGTGTTACAAACGTTACATACAGTGAGCTGTGTGCATCCAAAGAACACTTACACAACTAGAATCTACTTTAAGCTACAAATAAAGTATTAATTAATCCCCAATTCCAAAATAATATATACCACTTTTATATCTATATTTAAGCAAAACTTGAAATTAGTACATGGGAACAATTTAAAAATTCAACTGCTTGGAAATGAAAACATATAAAATACTGGAAGTGGGTTGTTCAATAGAGTAACCATTAGCCTGCATGTGGTTATTTAAATGTAAATTAATTAAAGTCAAATAAAATGAAAACTTCAGGTCCTCAATCACACTAGCAACATTTGAAATACCCCAAAGCCACCTGTGGCTAGTAGCTTACAGTAGTCTCCAGTGTGGTCACAGAATCTTTCATAATTGCAGAATGCTGTATTGGACAGTGCTGTGCTATAGTAGACAGCATCAGCTTTTACATTAAATTGGCTCTGAGAATGAGTTGACTAATTTTTATTCAAATATTACCTATATTAAGTGAATGTTTGAACAGAGGCATAATCTATGTTTCTAAGGTACACATATCTGTATCTATTTAGAAACAGTATAATACTGCATTATTTTGCATGCTTTTTTCTAGAAAAACTAAAAGTGATATATTGAAGTCTACTAAGAATAGGTTTCCTATCAATATGGATTAAATATTTGTGTATCCCCAAATTTAACATGCTAAAATGAATGTCTTGACCTCCAATGTTAAGTATTCAAAGATGGGGCCTTTGGGAGGCCATTAGGTTTAGATAAAGTCATGAGAGTGAGATGCTTGTGATGTGATTAATGCCCATGTAAGAAGAGACACCAGAGAGATTGCTCACTCTTTCTTTGCCATGTGAAGCCACAGTTAAAAGGTGGGCATCTGCATACCCAAAGAGATCCCTTGCTAGAACCCATTCTGGCACACTGATGACAGCCTCCAGAACAATGAGAAAATAAATTTCTGTTCTTCAAGCCACTCAGGCTAGGATATTTTGTCGTGGCAGCCCAAGTTAAGACAATAGTCTTTGCTTAAGTATTATATTGCTAACTTAATGCATAGAGGTGGGAGGCTGTGATATATTATGTTTTGCTTAAAACTATTATTTATCCCAAAACTCAACTGTGCCCCAACTTCTTTTAAAAAAAATCCAAAATGAGTATGATTCTTATCAAGAAAATGATATATAACAAAAATATTAGAAAACAATGTTTTGTTTTTTATTTCTTACTTTGATTTGGAAGTTAGAGTCCAGTTTTTATTTCTACCAGTGTGTAGGGAAAAATGTGTGCTTGATGCCCCAAGGAAGCATGCCAGCTTAATTTCTCCCTGCTTCCACATTGTGACGAGTCTTTTAACTGAATTATATGATTTACTCTTTCCCAAACATAGAGTTTCCTATATGCTTTTGTTCAGCTGTATCTTCCCCAGAATCTTCATCTCACCCCAACTTTACCTTTAAAATTACTCTTGACTTTGGCTGGACGTGGTGGCTCACGCCTGTAATCCCAACACTTTGGGAGGCTGAGGCGGGCAGATCATGAGGTCAGGAGATCGAGACCATCCTGGCTAACACGGTGAAACCCCGTCTCTACTAAAAATAGAAAAAATTAGCCAGGCGTGGTGGTGGGCGCCTGTAGTCCCAGCCACTCGGGAGGCTGAGACAGGAGAATGGCGTGAACCCGGGAGGTGGAGCTTGCAGTGAGCTGAGATGGTGCCACTGCACTCCAGCCTGGGCAACAGAGTGAGACTCTGTGTCAAAAAAAAAAAAAAAAAAAATTACTCTTGACTTTAACATTTATAATACAGAGTCATTTTTATATTATTAAATTAATTCACTTCTACTCTACTAATTCACTTCTACTCTATATTAATTATTAAATTAATTCTACTTCTACTCTATAAGCTTCTTGACAATAAGAGTTCATTGGCTATGGGTTTATGTTAGTATCATAGAACCATGTAGATGTTTAATATATATTAGGTACATTTGACTATTATTGAAGGTCTATCAACAATGAAATATTGCTCTAATCTTTCAAAATAGGGAACTATGTTTAAACTTTTATTTTACTTTTGAGGGTACATGTGCAGGTTATATAGGAAAACTTAGGTAATAGGGGTTTGTTGTACAGATTATTTTATCATCCAGGTACTAAGCCTTGTACCCAATAGTTGTTTTTTCTATTCCTTTCCTTTCCTATTTTTTCTGATCCTTTCCCTCCTCCCACCCTCTCCCACAAGTAGTTCCCACTGTTTGTGCTTCCTCTCTTTGTATCCATGTATTTTCATCATTTTCTTCATGCTTATAAGTGAGAACATGTGTTATTTGGTTTTCTGTTCCTGCTTTAGTTTGCTAAGCATACTGGCCTCCAGCTCCATCCATGTTCCTGCAAAAGACATCATCTTGTTCTGTTTTTATAGCTGCATATTATACCATTGTGTATATGTACCACATTTTCTTTATTCAATCTGCCATTTATGAGTATTTAGATTGATTCCATGTCTTTGTAATTGTAAATAGTGCTGCAGTTAACATAGTCGTACATGTGTCTTTATGGTAGAATGACTTACAGTCCTTTGGATATATACCCAGTAATGGGATTGCTGGGTTGAATGGTAGTTCTTTTTTAAGCTCTTTTAGGAATCACCACACTGTCTTTCACATGGCTAAACTAATTTACCATCCCAACAACAGTGCACAAGTGTTCCTTTTCTCTGCTACCTCACCAGCATATGTTATTTTTTGACATTTTACTAGTAGCCATTCTGACTGGTGTGAGATGGTGTCTCATTGTGGTTTCCATTTGCATTCCTCTAATAGTCAGTGATAGTGAGGTTTTTAATACTGGTGTTAAGAGGAAATGTGTGCTTATTGGCTGCATGTATGTCTCTTGAAAACTGTTCATGTCTTTTGCTCACTTTTTAATGGGGTCGTTTGGTTTTATTTTCTTGTAAATTTGTTTAAGTTCCTTTTACATGGTGGATATTAGACCTTTGTCGGATGCATAGTTAGCAAATATTTTCTCCCATGCTGCAGGTTGTCTGTTTACCCTGTTGATAGTTTCTTTTGCTGTGCAGAAAATCTTAAGTTTAATTGGACTCATTTTTTGGCCAGGCATGGTGGTTCACACCTGTAATCCCAGCACTTTGGGAGGCCAAGGTGGGTGGATCACCTGAGGCCAGTAGTTGGAGACCAGTCTGACCAACATGGCAAAACCCTATCTCTACTGAAAACACAAAAATTAGCTGGGTGTGGTGGTGCACACCTGTAGTCCTAGCTACTCAGGAGGCTGAGGCAGGAGAACTGCTTGAACCTAGGAGTTGGACATTGCAATGGAGCCAAGATCTGGGTGACAGAGTGAGACCCTGTCTCTAAATAAATAGACTCATTTTTCAATTTTTGCTTTTCTTGTGATTGAGTTGGCATTTTTGTCATGAAATATTTGACAGTTCCTATGTCCAGAATGTTATTGCCTAAGTTGTCTTCCAAGGTTTTTATAGTTTTGGGTTTTACATTTAACTCTTTAATCCACCTTGAGTTGATTTTTGTGCATGGTATAAGGAAGTGATCCAGTTTCAGTCTTCTGCATATGTTTAGCCAGTTATTCTAGCACTGTTTATTGAAGAAGGAGTCATTTACCCATTGCTTGTTTTTGTCAGCTTTACTGAAGATCATAAGGTTGCAGGCATGTAGCCTTATTACTGGGCTCTATTCTGTTCCATTGGTCTTTGTGCTTGTTTTTGACCAGTACCATACTGTTTTTGTTTCTGTAGTCCTGTGGTATAGTTTCAAGTCAGGTAGCATGATGCCTCCTGCTTTGTTGTTTTTACTTAGGACTGTCTTTGCTATTTGGACTCAGTTTTGCGTCCATATGAATTTTAAAATAGTTATTTCTAGTTCTGTGTAGAATGTCATTGGCAGTTTGATAGAAATAGCATTGAACCTGTAAATTGCTTTGGGCAGTATGGCTATTTTAAAGATATTGTTTCTTCCTATCTGTAAGCAAGGATGTATTTCCATTTATTTGTGTCACCTCTGAGTTTGTTGAGCAATGTTTTGCAATTCTTATTGTAGAGATCTTTCACCTCCTAGGTTAACTGCATTCCTAAGTATTTATTTTTATTTTTATTTTTTGAGACAGTCTCGCTCTGTCACCAGGCTGGAGTGCAGTGGCACAATCTCGGCTCACTGCAACCTCCGACTCCCTGGTTCAAATGATTCTCCTGCCTTAGCCTCCCAAATAGCTGGGATTACAGGCACATGCCACACACCCAGCTAATTTTTGTATTTTTAGCAGAGATGGGGTTTCACCATGTTGGCCAAGATGGTCTCAATCTCCTGAACTTGCAATCTGCCCCCTTCAGCCTGCCAAAGTTCTGGGATTACAGGCTTGAGCCACCGTGCCAGGCCCCTAAGTATTTTTTACGGCAATTGTGAATGGAATTGTGTTCCTGATTTGGCTCTTAGCTTGGCTGTTATTAGTCTATAGGAATACTAGTGATTTTTTTACATTGATTTTGTATCCCGAAACTTTGCTGAAGTTGTTTATTAGCTGAAGGAGCTTTTGGGCTGAGACTATGGGGTTTTCTAGATATAGAATTAAGTAGTCAGCAAACAGGGATATTTTAGCTGTCTCTCTTCCTATTAGGATGCCCTTTATTTCTTTCTCTTGCTTGGTTGCTCTGGTCAGTCCTGCCAATACTATGTTGAATAGGAATGGTGAGACATGGCATCCTTGTCTTGGGCCAGTTTTCAAGGGGAATGCTTCCTGCTTTTACCCATTCAGTATGATGTTGGCTGTTGCAGATGCCTTTAATTATTTTGAGGTTTGTTCCTTCAATGCTTAGTTTATTGAGTTCTTAACATAAAAGGATGTTGAATTTTATCTAAAGCCTTTTCTTCATCTTTTGATATAATCATGTGTTTTTTTGTCATTAGTTCTGCTTATGTAATAAATCACGTTCATTGATTTGCATATGTTGAACCAACCTTGCATCCCAGGGATAAAGCCTACTTGATCATAGTGGATTAAGTTTTTGATATGCTGCTAGATTCAGTTTGTAGGTATTTTGTTGAGGATTTATGCATCGATGTTCATCAAGGATATTGACGTAAAGTTTGTGTGTGTAAGTGTGTGTGTGCTGTGTCTCTGTCAGGTTTTTGTATCAGGATGATGCTGGCTTCATAGAATTAGTTATGGAGGAGATGCTCCTCCTCAATTTTCTGTAATAGTTTCAGTAGGAATGGTACCAGGTCTTCTTTTTAACACCTGGTAGAAGTTAGCTATGAATCTGACTGGTCCTGGGCTTTCTGTTAGTAGGCTATTTATTGCAGACTCAATGTCAGAGCTCATTATTGGTCTGTTCAGGGGACGAATTTCTTTTTGGCTTAGACTTGGGAGAGTATAGGTGTTCAGGAATTTATCCATCTTGGTTTTCTAGTCAAAATAGGAAACTTGAAAAGTAACATGCCAATATTTTTTAATTAAAAAAATCAAACCACAATATACAAAGTGTATTAGGAATATAACAATATTCATATCTGGTAGTTAATTCAGAATTTAAAAATGTTATCCTTTTGCCACATTTGTTTCAGATCTCTTCTTTTTAAATAAGCAATACAGATATGGTTGAATTACTCTTAATAACCTTCCCCAATCTTATGTTCCTTCCCCATTTCATCAGGGAACTACTACCCTGACTTTGATTTGTCTCATTCATATTTCCATTTTTCATAATAGTATGTTTTTAAGGTTAACATTGAATATATGTAATACTATTATTCCAATCTCTCTTTTAGAGGTGGGTTTTTGATATGTACACACCTTCATTCACGTTAATACTTTTCAAGATTTTTGTTCTAAATGAATGTCTTTGCTTATTGTTTATAACCCTGGAGCATTAAGGAATATTCCCTAAGTAGATAATTATTTTTGCTGTATCTTTTCTGAATTATTTTAAGATTAAAGAATAAAATTGTATTTCTTTGTGAGATTTTAAAAGCTTTTTCACTGACTTCACAAATAAATAATGGCTGCTAATTCTACTTTCAGGGTAATTGATCCAAATTATCTAGGCCAGTGCTCTTTGAAAAATGCAAACTGCAGTCAATACTTAAAAGCATAGCTTATTAAAGCTTCAAAAGGTTACACGTTGATTTAAAAGGTATATATTTAAACCATATCTAAACAGCGCTCTTTAGAGATGCACAAAGTGTTACTTTAGAAATCTCATCACTAATTTGGTGTATTGAGAGAATTTATCAAGGGATTTTCAGTAGCAGGGCACAGTGCTAGGTGCAATGGAGATATTGAATTCTGTATTTTTAAGAGGTTATAGTATAGTTGGTGATAGAATATGACAATTGAAACTCTAGTCAACACTACTGAACTTATGTAATTAAATCTAGGAGAATATTCTGCAAACTATAAAGCCTATTGGATTTGTGAGTAAAGAAAGATCAATGAGATCTGAAATAGCCAAAGAATATATAATGAGAGATAGTGATTTGAAGAGTGAATAGGATTTGCATAAGTTAGAGCAGAAAGAACATTTCTGGCAATAGAATGTCCTACTTGGAGAGGTTGGCATGTTTTGGAGAATAGTGGAAATAAGATTGGATTAAATCAAAAAAAGGAAGATAATGGAATCCTATGTGAACTACATTTGGTTACTTGAAAATTTTTGCTGACTTTATTCCTTTCTTTCTTGCCATGGCATTGGTAAGTAATAATGACTAGCTCTTAATACAATAGTATATTTCTCATTCATTTTCTGAGAAAGAGGTTTGTGAAAATATAGGAATGTTTTAATGTCAAGTGATGTAACTTTCTTGGATCAAAACTGTCGGTTAAAATAATCTTCAGGGGTGGGTTTTCTTAACAACCATTCCACCAGATGTGTTAGAAGAACATTCACAAATTTATCAGGAAGAGAAATGAGGCGTAGAGAAATAAAGTAGTTCAGCCATCAGCAAACAGCGCTTCTGGGACAGAGCTGAAGAGAATCCTAAGGTTTGAAGAAACATGCAGAGGTCATCAATTGCCGTTCTCATTTGTCTGCAAACTCTGTATTATTCAGTGTCCTCCAGAGGAGAAATTTCTATGTCCTTTCTCACTAACTTTTCAAAAGTTTAAGAGTCTGCATTAGTTATCTCTGCCTAAAACTTCCTCTATCTGACTTCAACTCACTTAAACAGAATGAACGCCACTACAACAAATAGGTTTCCTAGTATTTTCAATTGCCTCCACATAAAAGGCACATTAGTAGTTTTATTCATTTCTAGTATAAATTTTAAAACCATGTCTGCTACAAAGCCAGGAAGTTTTAATAATAGCTATCTTTTTAGACTTCAAAATATGAGTTATAGTGACATAGCCATAAACAGCATTTGAATATAAGCAGCTTATTTTACATATTTTGTTTCTATTCAGTTTAGTGTATCCATGTGTCCAGCATGCTCCGTGTTGAAAGGCAGTTGAGTTGACAAGAAATACATATGTCATCCAAGTAGGACCTTCACCCTATTGCTCAACCCTGGATTTCTATATTACCTCACCTACACTCCTAAAGGGTGCATTTCGGCCCTATGGTGAGGGTGAAAATATGATGGCCACTACCACAGGTTTCAAGAAACCTTCAGAGTCAACATCTCATGAATAGAAAAACAAACATTTTTCATTGTGATCTCCTAGTGTTCTAGCAAATTTTAAGTGTAATGACAGTATGACATCTTTATATATTGTTGAAACCAATAATTCAATGAGAGGTCTGTGAAAGAAAATCTCTCTAGATTCACCCATTAAAGTGAGAAATTTTAATTGAGTAGAAAAATTATGATTCCCTTTAATATGTTTCCCTCTAATAGGCATAAACTTAGTTTTACTAAAGATATTTAATTGAGAAAAGAAAGTAGTTGACTTACACTTACTATGCATACATCCTGATAACTACTGGTTAACACTATTTTATACAAAGATCTGCTAGATCCTATTCTCTCCTGCTTCAGGGGGATATTGGTCCAGTATTTCCCCCTATGTTGGTGTTTTTCACTTGTATTGCATCATCGAACATACAGACTTCAGCTTTCAGGGTTTTCAGGGTTTGCGTTAGTTGCAGAGAGCTACCTTGTCCAACCACATGCCTCTCCTAGCAGGCACACATCCAGTGACTATTGTGGTACGTTTTAAAGACCCAAATATTTAAGCTTAATGCAGGACACTCTTGACATTTCATTTAAATTCATGTATGTATGGGATTGTCCAAGGCTTTTTTGAGCCTGCATCACTGTTCCGTTCAAATTCTTACTCTAATACAGCTTTCTCCTCTCTCCCACAGGTGTAAATCTCTAATAAATATTCAGCTAGCCAAAGTCCATCTCACGGTCTGCTTGTGGAAAATCCACCTGTGGTGGCTTTCTTATCAGGTCATCACGGTGGTCTTTACAATGCTAAAGTCGATAGCCAATTTTCAGTTCTCATCTTACTTGGACTACTAATTGACCTTGCTGACTGTTCCCATGCTCCATTTTCTTCAGTCTCTTCTTACAGAATAGCAACCAGAGAATCCTCCTAAAACAGTAATAGAATCCTCCTAAGAAAACTTAGTGCCCTCCTCTACTAAAAACTCTTCCATGTTTGTCATCTCAATTTGAGGAGTAGCCAGGGTCCCTACAATGTTTTCCAGTGGCTCAATATGGTAACTCCTTCATCTCCACCATTTAACTTCATTCCCAACTACTTTCTCATTTGTCCATTTTGCTTCAGCCACATCAGCATTAACACTGTTTCTTGAATATGTCAATCATACTCGTGTCTACTGGAATACCCTAAATATGGCTAGGCCTCTCATTTCCTTATATACTCCAACATTACCTCTGCCTTAGCCTTATAATTACTGTAGAGAAGCCTTATCTATCTAGAGTGATTATACCATCCCTCTCAACTTTAATGCATTCCTGTTTCTTCTACATTTGCTTTATTTCCTTTCTTTGCATTTTTTTTCAGCATCTGACACAGTATGAATTGACTTATTTGTCCAAAGAGTAAGTTCCTTCAGGAAAGTAACCTTGTTTGTTCACTACTGTAATTACAGAACTCAAAATATTGCTTCAGGCAATAAATAATCATTGAATAAGTGATTTAATGAATCAACATCCAAGAGTGCAAAATATCTTCTTGGAAATAATAATAGAATTACATTGGGTGTAAAACATATTGTGGACTAATATTTTACAATATGCTAGAGATCCACATCCATGCCATATAGCTCTGAAATGAATATATCTAGAACACTCACCTATTCTTTATTTAATATCCCTCAAGAATAAATGCATTTCCAAAGCTGTAGTTAGTAAAAGTATCAAACATTTTTTGGTTTGGGATATTTTTGAAATTCTAGGGCTGTTCTAAATGCTGTCGTTACACTTAGAAAAGAAAGTTTCAAAACTAGAAATCTGTTTTAACAAAAGGTTAGAGGGTCCAGTCATTATATGATCCTGACATATATGAATTTGTAAGCAAGATAGACTGTAATGGAACTGTTCTCAAAAACCCATATAGTTTTACAGAAATTCTTGTAGTTAAATAAACAAAGACTTCATGCCACCATTAGTGTAAATACCACTAAATAAAGTGCCCTAGATAGTATTTAATCAATCAGACTGTGACTAATGGAAAGTCCTGGCCAAGGCCTCCAAGCGTCTCAGTCTTCTTGCCAATATGTATTTCTTTGTCTATATTTAGGGTGTGTATATTTTAACAACAGAAAAGACAAAAACAACAACCTTGACCCTCATGTAGTAAGACGGTTGAATTATAATGGTCTCTGGGGAGAAAAAGGTAAATAAAAAACAATAAACAAATTTAGTATTCCCAGTTAAATGTTGATCATGCTGGCAGAAAAATGAATATCTGTCTACTTTTACCTGTTCATCAGAAAAGCACTTAAGCTGGGGTATATACGAAAGCATTATGAACACACAATTCCTTATATATGCAAACATATAGAAAAATATGGCTTTTTCGTTAGTAATGAATAAAGCAATAAACACCAAGAACAACTGATTTGAAATTATATTCAAAAAAATTACACTTGGGACAATCTCTTCCCAAACCTAAAGGAAAACCCAATTCTGTTGATTTTTCAGTGAATAGAGAAAATTTAATACTGATAAATGTACAGTTATTACATTTTAAATTAAAAATCAAATAGAGAAGTAAACATACACTTTAAGACCCAAAAGTTATAGAGTTCGGTATATTTGTAATCATAATATTTAATTATACCTTTAACTTTAGGAAAATATTTTAAATTTTGTAAACTAAATTCTTTAACTTTGATCAGAGCAGTAGTCCTTTAAAAGAGCTCAATGTTCTATGAAAATAAAAATAAGTGGAATTAAAACATAAATGGATTTTTCACTAAAGCTTATGGATAATTTAATACAATTAAGAGCTATTAATACTGATAATAGCAAAATATTAATAGCTACAGTTTATTAAATGCTATGTGCCAACATTCTAAAAGTTTTCCATATATTTCCTCCTGTGTCTTTATAACCCTCTCCACCTTAGGAGTTAGGTACTATTATGATGCCTGTTTACAGATGAGAAAACTGAGACTCAGACGATTCATCTATTTTTGGGAAAAGATTTAGAACTATTAGGGGATGAAGCCAAATTCCTGACCAGTTATTTGACCTTGAAGCTGATGTTTCTACACTTGATCTTAGTCAAAAAGCCAAGAAGTGATAAAGCCCATCCTTTTAATCACTACAGTGTTAACAGTAAAAATTAGCTTAGGGAATAAAAGGTGGAAATACAGAGTTTTAGTAATAAGTCTGTCTTCATGCATGGTGCCAGCAGAGATGATTGTAAACAGCAAAATTCAGACAATCTTCAGGTCATTTTCTCTCCCCAGTGTCAAATAAGCAGCTTGACTGGTAGTTTTGACAGAACAAGTCAGTTGATTTGGCTTCAGCAGGCAAAGTCATTGCCTAGTTCCTCTATACTACAGGGAGGTTCTTGGCCCGAGTCCTCGGCAGCCTTGTTTTACAACACTGTTAATAATGTACTCTCAGCAGAGGTTCAAATCGCAACAAAGTGCATTAGACCCAGCCTTCACAGCTCAGTGGGCTTAAGGAAAATTTAGAGGACAGCGCCATGATCTCTTCATCATCTTATTGCCATATCAACAGATTTACTCTCAGGCAATTACTTTAGAAATTTGGCTATCCCCAAAAAAATTCTTCAATATTCTTGAGAAATGGGTTAGTGGTAATAATGCTTTTCCAGAGTTTTCATCGCATATTTTACTATGAATTAGATGGTGTCAGCAAATGCTATCAAATGGCGAGGTGACAAAAAAAAAAAAAAGACTAAAAGAAATTATTCTGCTCTCCTTCCCTTTGGCAACACACACAAACACATTACTTCAAACTTTTTTGAGGCCCTACATTCTCACCTTTAGACGGCTTATTCTTTTTTGGACTTAACTATCACCTTTATGTGAAATACCTTCGAATAACTTCTAATCCTATAAACTCAGCTGACCTGGGCAACTCAACTTCTTGAAAGGACACTATTGTATTAGCACCTTGCACAGACCCTTTAGGATACCGTTCAACAGAGTCATTTTGATGTTGAAAGTCAATGGTGTTTAAAAATAAGGACTAAATAGAGGCAACCTATGCCAGTCAACCTTACTCTCAAAGTCAAGAGAGCAGGGTTACTATGCAGGCTGACTCAATCTTGGAACTGATCTAAATATAATATCACATGTAAGTCAAAGATGACTAGGTACAGAGGAAACTGGATTATGGCAATACTGAAGAGAACGTAAGAAATTAAGGGAAATAATCTAAGGAGAAGAATGTAAAGAAGGCTGTGATGATAAGAATGCCACTGAATAATCTTACGTATCGTTTGCCTTAATGGAACATTACTTACATATTGTGTAATAAATAACCCCCAAAATTAGCAGCTTAAAACAACAAGCACTTATTATCTCACAGTTTCTGTGGATCAAGAATCCCAACACAGTATAACTGGGTGCCTCTGGCTTAAGGTTCTTATTGACAAGGTTGCAGTCAAGCTGTCAGCAGGTGGGAACAGTCATCTCAAGGCTTTCCTGGAGTTGAAAGATCTGATTCAATGTCCTAGAAATTCATGTCTAAGTTCCCTCTCATGGGCCTCTTCATAGGTTTACCTCAGGACATGGCAGCTGGCCTACCTCAGGAAGGGTGAGATGCCTTATGGAAAGGGAGGGAAAGCACACCCAAGACTTAGGTCACAGTCTCTTTGTAACTTAATATTGGAAGTGATATACTATTAGTTTGCCACAATCTACTCAGCAGAAGCAAGTTATTAGGTCCAGACAACACTAAAGGGGAGGAGAATACACAAGGGAATGAATACTTTACTGACTTCCTATGTCCTGACGCTGTGGCTCCCCCACCACAGAATCTCTTCTTTTATGGATCATAGATGGCCTCTTGCTCTTGGACACAACTTTCTTGTTTATTTTAGTCTCCATCCTCCTCTACTTCCTCTTCCTCATCCCTCTCCATCAGCAGCTTGGGTATGTTTGAAGTTTTTTTTTTTTTTTGAAACCCTCCCTTCATACTTTTCATGATATTTATTTTTCTGTATTTCTATAAATCACTTTACTCTTTCTTTAGTGGCTTTTCATCTTGCACCTTCCAAAAAGATTTTTTAAGGGAGTTTATGACCACAGAAGTTGTTGCCCATCAAAAATTAACTGGAGCTTCTATTTCTTGTGTTCACTCATGGGCAAAGTCTGACAGAGGACCCACCTCAACTCATACTTAACATATTTCTAAAGCAGGGGCAAGAGAATGTGGTTATTCACAAAACGGTGCTTAAAACTTCCACCCAGAAGAGATTCATATCACTTCTGTGCTCACATGGTGAAGCTCAACTTCTGAGGGGCAAGGAAGTGCAATCCTATTGTATATCCTAAGAAAAGTCACTGAATATGTTCAATCAATAGCCCTAATGACTGCCACACTAATCAAGACAAATGTGCACTCTTGCTTCTGTGGAATTTTTTTTTTTTTTTTTTTTTTTGAGGTGGTGTCTTGCCCTGTCACCCAGGCTGGAGTGCAATGGTGCGATCTCGGCTCACTGCAACCTCTGCGTCTTGAGTTCGAGTGATTCTCCTACCTCAGCCTCCCCAGTAGCTGGGATAACAGGCATGCGTCACCACGCCCAGCTAATTCTGTACTTTTAGTAGAGACAGGGTTTCTCCATGTTGGCCAAGCTCATCTCGAACTTCCAACATCAGGTGTTCTGCCCGCCTCAGCCTACCAAAGTGCTGAGATTACAGGCATGAGCCACCGCTCCCAGCCCTGAACAATGTATTTTTAAGACCATAAAGAAAATATGTATTCTCAGCCAGGCACGGTGGCTCATGCCTGCAATCCCAGCACTTTGGGAGGCCAAGGCGGGTGGATCACAAGGTCAGATCGAGACCATCCTAGCTAACATGGTGAAACCCCGTCTCTATTAAAAAATACAAAAATTTAGCTGGATGTGGTGGCGGGCTCCTGTAGTCCCAGCTACTCGGGAGGTTGAGGCAGGAGAATGGCGTTAACCCAGGAGGCGGAGCTTGCAGTGAGCCGAGACAGCACCACTGCACTCCAGCCTGGGAGACAGAGCGAGACTCTGTGTCCAAAAAAAAAAAAACTCTCTTCAGCTAAATGGAAAAAACTGAAATCCTAACAATCTATTTCGTAGACCACAGCATAATCAAATTAGAAATCGGGACTAAGAAATTTACTCAAAACCATACAATTACTTGGAAATGAAATAATCTACTCTTGAATTACTTTTGGGTAAATAATGAAATTAAGGCAGAAATCAAGACGTTATTTGAAACTAACTATAACAAAGATACAACATACCAGAATCTCGGGACACAGCTAAGGCAATGTTGAGAGGGAAATTTATAGCACTAAATGCCCACATCAAAGTTAGAGAATCTCAATTTAACAACCTAAGGTCACAATGAAAACAAATAGAGAACCAAGAGCAAACCAACCCCAAGGCTAGAAGAAGACAAGAAATAACCGAAATCAGAGGTGAACTGAAGGAGACTGAGACATGTAAAGTCATTCAAAAGATCAACGAATCCAGGAGCTAGTTTTTTTTTTAATTAAGAAAATAGACCACTAGCTAGACTAATAAGAAAAAAAAAAGAAGACTCAAATAAACACAATCAGAAGTGACAAGGGGGATAATACCACTGACCACACAGAAATACAAACACCAGAGAACATTATGAACACTTTTATGCACATAAACTAGAAAATCTAGAAGCAGTGGATAAATTCCTAGACACATAGACCCTCTTACAACTGAAGAAGGAAGAAACTGAATTGTGGAATAGACCAATGACAAGTTCTGAAATTGAGGCAGTAATAAATAACCTACTAACCAAAAAAACTTCATAACCAGAAGACCTCACAGCTGTGTTCTACCTGATGTACAATGAAGACATGATACCATTCCTTTTGAAACTATTCCATAAATGTTAAGGAGAAGGGGCAGGGCCAAGATGGCCAACTAGAAACAGCAGCCATCAGAGGCTCCTATGGAAAAGAACCATAATTAGCATATGAATCCTTCACCGGCAACCAGGTATCCAGATTCTCTCATCAGAACTGATTAGGTGGCTGGCATGATCCATGGAGAGGAAGCAAGGGCAGTGTGGTACAGTGGCCCACCTGAGAGCCACACGGGGCAGGGGAGATCTCACCCCACATCCCCCAGCCAAGGGAGGCAGTGAGGGAGTGCTACCCAGCCAGGGAAACCGTGCTTTTTCCACGGAACTTTACAGCTCACTCACAAACTCATGCCAGCGGGTCCTAGGATCCAAATCTGGGAGCCCTGCAGATACTCAACAGCCTCTCAGCTGGAACCTGCCTAAGCCTCCTGAGGTCCTGAGGGGAGAGGAGACCAGCACCACAGCTGCAGCTGCCTGCTAAGCCCTTTGAGCTCCTGGGGGAGGGGCAGCAACCAGCAAAGGGACTCATAAATGCCTAATATGCTAAGCTCCCTGGATGGGGGAAGGGCAGCATCCATCTCTATAGCTCCAGGCCATGCATTTCCCCTGCTGGAGCCAGGGAAGCTGGATAGCTTGCTCCCAGGAGATGTCCCCCAGAGTCCAAAACACTGGCTACGGCAGACTGCGGCCAGACTGCCTCTACAGGCCTGACCCTGACCCATCCTTCCTCACTGGGTGGGGTTTCCCTATAGGAACTCCAACTCCAGCCAGAGGCTTATGGACAGAACCTTGATCTCTAAAGGCCTGAGCCCCTAGAGGGAGGGGTGGCCACAGACTCTGTGGACAAGCAGACTTAGACTTTCCTCCTGGCAGTTCCAGACAAGTGGGTTTCACCCCAGTGAAGCACACCCCCTCCACCAAGAGACAGTCAAGTGCTTCATTAAATGGGTCCTGTTCCCCACACCACCCAGCTGGGTGAGACCCTCTGACAGGGGTTGTCAGACAGCCTATACAGGAACAATCCTACTGGCATCAGGTTGGTGTCACTTCAGGTCAGAGATCCCAGAAGGAGTAGGCACCCATCTTTGCTGTTCTCCAGCCTCCTTGAGTGACATCTCCAGGCATGGTAGTGAACCTGATGAATAGGGCCTGAAGTGAAACCCCAGCAAACTGTAGCAGTCCTACAGAACAGAGACCTGACCCTTGAAAGAAAAACAAACAAAGCAACAACAGCATCAACAAAAAAAAAGTCCCCGCAAAAAGCCCATCCAAAGCAGCAGCCTCAAAGATCAAAACTAGACAAACTCATGAAGCTGAGAAAGAATCAATGATTAAATGCTGAAAATCCAAAAGGCCAGACTGCCTCTTCTCCTCCAAATGATTGCAGTGCCTCTCCAGCAAGGATGCAGAACTGGAGGGAGTATGAGATGGATGAATTGATAGAAGTAAGTTTCAGAAGATGGCTAATAAAAAATTCTGCTGAGGTGAAGGAGCATGCTGTAACCCAATGCAAAGAAGCTAAGAACCTTGATAAAAGGTTAGAGGAGCTGCTAACTGTAATAATCAGTTTAGAGAGGAACATAAATAATCTGATAGAGCTGAAAAACACAGCATGAGAACTTTGTGAAGCATACACAAGTATCAGTAGCCGAATTGATTAAGCAGAAGAAAGGGTATCAGAGATTGAAGATCAACTTATTGCAATAAGACATGCAGACAAGAATGGAGAAAAAAGAAAAAAAAGGAATGAACAAAGCCTCCATTAAATATGGGACTTCATAAAAAGAACAAACCTATGATTGATTAGAGTACATGGAGGAGATGGGGATAATGGAAAGAAGGTAGAAAACACACTTCAGGATATTATCCAGGAGAACTTCCCCAACCTAGCAAGACAGGCCAACATGCAAATTCAGAAAATACAGAGAATACCACTAAGATACTCCATGAGAAGATCAACCCATAATCATCACATAATCAACACATAATCATCAGATTATCCAAGGTCAAATGAAGGAAAAACTGTTAAGGGCAGCCAGAAATAAAGGCCAGGTAACCTATAAGGGAAGCCCATCAGGCTAACAGCAGACCTCTCAGCAGAAACTCTACAAGCCAGAAGATACTGGGGGCCAGTATTCAACATTCTTAAAGAAAATCATTTTCAACCCAGAATTTCATATCCAGCCAAACTAAGTTTCATTCACAAGCAAAGGAGAAACAAAATCCTTTCCAGACAAACAAATGTTGAGGGATTTTGTTACCACCAGGCCTGCCTTGCCAGAGCTCCTGAATGAAGCACTAAATACGGAAAGGAAAAACCAGTACCAACCACTGCAAAAACACACCCAAATATAAAGACCAATGACCCTCTGAAGAAACCACATCAACTACTGTGCAAAATAACCAGACAGCATCATGATGACAGGATCAAATTCAAACATAACAATACTAACCTTAAGTAAATGGGCTAAATATTCCAATTAAAAGACACTGACTGGCAAATTGGATAAAGAGTCAAGACCCATCAGGGTGCTGTATTCAGGAGACCCTTCTCATGTGCAAAGACACGTATGGGCTCAAAATAAAGAGATGGAGGAAAATTTACCAACCAAATGGAAACCAAAAGAAAGCAGGGGTTGCAATACTAGTCTCTGACAAAACAGACTTTAAACCAACAAAGATCAAAAAAGACAAAGAAAGGCATTACATAATGGTAAAGGGAACAATTCAACAAGAAGAGCTAACTATTCTAAATATATATGCACTCAATACAGGAGCACCCAGATTCATAAAACAAGTTCTTGGAAACATACAACAAGACTTAGACTCCCACACAATAATAGTGGGAGACTTTAACACTCCACTGTCAATACTAGACAGATCAGAGAAAAAGAAAATTAACAAGGATATTCAGGAATTGAACTCAGCTCTTGATCAAGTGGACCTAATAGATATCTACAGAACTCTTCACCCCAAATCAACAGACTATACATTCTTCTCCGTGCCACACGACACTTATTTTAAAATTGACTACATAATGGGAAATAAAACACTCCTCAGCAAATGCAAAACAACTGAAATCCTAACAAACAGTATCTCACAACACAATGCAATCAAATTAGAACTCAGGATTAAGAAATTCACTCAAACCCATACAATTACATGGAAAATGAACAACCTTCACCTCAATGATTCCTGGGTAAATAATGAATTTAATGTAGAATCAAGAATTTCTTTTATTTTTTTATTTTATTATTATTATACTTTAAGTTTTAGGGTACATGTGCACAATGTGCAGGTTAGTTACATATGTATACATGTGCCATGCTGGTGTGCTGTACCCATTAACTCATCCTTTAGCATTAGGTATAGCTCCTAAAGCTATCCCTCCTCCCTCCCCCGACCCCACAACAGTCCCCAGAGTGTGATGTTCCCCTTCCTGTGTCCATGAATCAATAATTTCTTTGAAACCAATGAGAACAAAGAGACAACATACCAGAATCTCTGGGACACCACTAAAGCAGTGGTAAGTGGGAAATTTACACCACTAAATGCCCACATTAGAAAGCTAAAAGATTATAAATCTACACCATAACATCACCAATTAAAAGAGCTAGAGAGGAAAGAGCAAACTAATCCAAAAATGCCAGAAATAACTAAGATCAAAGCTGAACAGGAGATAGAGACAAGAAAAACCCTTCAAAAAATCAATGAATCCAGAAGCTGTTTTTTTTTGAAAAAATTAATAAAATGGATGGCTAGCTAGACTAATAAAGAAAAAAGAAAGAAGAATCAAATAGACACAATAAATAAAAGATGATAAGGGGATATCACCACTGACCCCACAAAAATACAAACCACCATCAGAGAATACTCTAAACACCTCTACACAAATAAACTAGAAAATCTAGAAGAAATGGATAAATTTCTGGACACATACACCCTCCCAAGACTAAACCAGGAAGAAGTTGAATTCCTGAATAGACCAATAACAAGTTCTGAAACTGAGTTAGTAATTAATAGCCTACCAATCAAAAAAAGCACAGATCCAGATGGACTCACAGCCTAATTTTACCAGAAATACAAAGAGCAGCTGGTATCATTTCTTCTAAAACTATTCCAAACAACTGAAAAAGAGGGACTCATTTTAAGAAGCCAGCATCATCTTGATACCAAAACTGGGCAAAGACAACAAAACAAGAAAACTCCAGGCCAATATTCCTGATGAACATTGATGCCAAAATCCTCAATAAAGTACTGGCACACTGAATCCAGCAGCACAAAAATCTTCTCTACTACAATCAAGTCAGCTTCATCCCTGGGATGCAAAGCTTGTTCAACATATGCAAATCAATAAATGTTATCCATCACATAAACAGAACCAAAGACAAGAACCACATGATTATCTCAATAGATGCAGAAAAGGCCTTTGACAAAATTCAACATCCCCTCATGTTAAAAACTCTCAATAAACTAGGTATTGATGGAACATATTTCACAATAATAAGAGCTATTTATGAAAAATCCACAGCCAATATCATATTGGATGGGTAAAAGCTGGAAGCATTCCCTTTGAAAGCCAGCACAAGACAAGGATGCCCTCTCACACCACTCTTATTCAACATATTATTGGAAGTTCTGCCCAGGGCAATCAGGCAAGAGAAAGAAATAAAGCGTATTCAAGTAGGAAGAGAGGAATTTGAATTGTCTCTGTTTGTAGATGACATGATTTTATATTTAGAAAATCCCATCATCTCAGCCTAAAACTCCTTACACTTATAAGCAACTTCAGCAAAGTCTCAGGATACAAAATTAATGTGCAAAAATCACAAGCATTTCTTTACACCAACAATAGACATGCAGAGATCCAAATCATGAATGAACTCCCATTCACAATCACTACAAAGAGAATAAAATATCTAGGAATACAGCTAACAAGAGATATGAAGGACCTCTTCAAGGATAACTACAAACCACTGCTCAAGGAAATCAGAGAGGACACAAACGAATGGAAAAACACTCCATCCTCATGGATAGGAAGAATCAATATTGTGAAAATCGCCATCCTGCCCAAAGTAATTTATAGATTCAATACTATTCCCATCACACTACTATTGACTTTCTTCAAATAATTAGAAAAAACTACTTTAAATTTCATTTGGAATCAAAGAAGACCCCATATAGCCAAGACAATCCTAAGCAAAAAGAACGAAGCTGGAGGTATCACACTACCTGACTTCAAACTATATTACAAGGCACCAGTAAACAAAACAGCATGACACTGGTACAAAAACAGACATATAGACCAATGGAACAGAAGAGAGACCTCAGAAATAACACCATACATCTACAATGATGTGATCTTCGACAAACCTGACAAAAGCAATGCGGAAAGAATCTCCTCTTCAATAAATGATGCTGGGAAAACTGGCTAGCCATATGCGGAAAACTGAAACTGGATCCCTTCCTTATGCCTTGTACAAAAGTTAACTCAAGATGGAATAAAGACTTAAATGTAAAACCCAAAACTATAAAAACTGTGGCAGAAAACCCAGGCAATGCCATTCAGGACATAGGCATAGGCCAAGACTTCATGACGAAAATGCCTAACGCAATTGCAACAAATGCCAAAACTGACAAATGAGATCTAGTTAAACTAAAGAGCTTCTGCACAGCAAAAGAAACTACCAACAGAATAAACAGGAAGCATACAGAATGGGAGAAAGTTTTTGCAATCTACCCATCTGACAAAGGGCTAATATCCAGAATCTACAAAGAACTTAAGCAAATTTACAAGAAATAAATAAACAAACCCATCAAAAAGTGAGCAGAAGATACGAACAGACACTTCTCAAAAGAAAACATTTACGTGGCCAACAAACATACAAAAAAAAGCTCAATATCATTGATCATTAGAGAAATGCAAATCAAAACCATAATGAGATACCATCTCATTACTGTCAGAATGGCTATTACTAAATGTCAGTAAATAACAGATGCTGGCATGGCTGTGGAGAAATACGAATGCTTTTATGCTGTTGATGGGAAAGTAAATTAGTTCAACCACTGTGGAAGACAGTATGGGATTCTGCAAGGATCTAGAAACAGAAATACTATTTGACCCAGCAATCTCATTACTGGCTATATACCCAAAGGAATATAAATCATTCTACCATAAAGACACATGCACATGTTTGTTGACTGCAACACTATTAACAATAGGAAAGTCATGGAACCAACCCAAATGCCCATCAATGATAGACTGGATAAAGAAAATGGGGTAAACATACATCATGAAATACTACAAAGCCATAGAAAGGAGTGAGATCATGTCCTTTGCAGGGACATGGATGAAGCTGGAAGCCATCATCCTCAGCAAACTAACACAGGAACAGAAAACCAACCAACACATGTTCTCACTCATAAGTGGGAGTTGAACAAAGAGAACACATGGACACAGGAAGGTGAATAACACACAAGAGTCTGTTGGGGGTTGGCGAGCAAGGGGAGGGAACTTAGAGGATGGGTCAATAGGTGCAGCAAACCACCATGGCACACATATACCTATGTAATAAACCTGCATGTTCTGCACATGTATCCCGGAACTTAAAGTTAAAAAAAAAATTGAGGAGGAGGAAGTCCTCGCTAATGCATTCTGTGTGGCCAGCATCATCCTGATACCAAAACCTGGAAAACACACACACACACACACACACATGTGCATGCACATACAGACACATACACACACACACTACTTCAGGTCAATATCTTCAATGAACATCAATGCAAAAATCATTAATGAAATACTGGCAAAACAAACCTAACAGCATATCAAAAAGCTTATCTACCACGATCAAATAGGCTTTATCCCTGGGATGAAAGGTTGGTTCAACACACACAAATCAATAAATGTGATTTATCACATACATGGAACTAAAGACAAAAAGCGCATAATTATCTTAATAGTTGCAGAAAAGACTTTACATTAAATTGAACACTTCTTCCTGATAAGAACTCTTTAAAACTCATGATGAACTAGGTATTGAAGGAACGTGCCTCAAAATAATAAGAACCATATATGGAATACCCACAGCTGATATCATACTAAATGGGCAAAACCTGGAAGCATTCCCCTTGAAAACTGGCACAAGACAAGAATGCCCTCTCACACCACTACTATTCACATAGTATTAGAACCTAGAGAGAGCCATCAGGCAAGAGAAAAAAAATAATGGGCATCCAAACAGGAAGAGAGGAAGTCAAACTATTCCTGTTTGTAGTTGACATGATCCTATATCTAGAAAATCCCATAGTCTTGGCTCAAAAGATCCTTAACCTAGTAAGCAACTTCTTCGAAGTCTCAGGATGTAAAATCAATGCAAAAATCACTAGCGCTCCTATACCCCAAAAACAGTAAAGCCGAGAGCCAAATCAGAAATGCAATCCCATTTGCAATTGCCAACAACAAAACAAAAAGAACAGCAGCAGCAACAACAACCAAAAAAACACAAAAACCTTAGGAACATGTCTAAGTACAGAGATGAAAGATCTCCGCAAGGAAAGCTACAAAACACTGCTAAAAGAAATCAGAGATGGTCCAAACAAATGGAAAAACATTCCATGCTCATGGATAGAATCAATATTGTGAAAATGGCTATGCTGCCCAAAACTATTTATAGATTTAATGATATGCCTATTAAAATACCAATGACATTTTTTAAAGGACTAGACAAACCTATTTTAAAATTCATATGGAACCAAAAAAGAGCCCAAGGTAACCAAGGCAATCCAAAGCAACAAGAACAAAGCTGGAGGCATCATGCTACCCAACTTAAAACTATACTACAGGGCTATAGTAACCAAAACAGCATGGTACTGGTATAAGAACAGACACATAGACTAATGGAACACAATAGAAAACCCAGACATAAGATCACACACCTAAAACTATCAGATATCAGACAAATGAGACAAAAAACAAGCAATGGGGAAAGCATACACTATTTAATAAATGGTACTTGGAAAACTGGCTAGCCATATGCAGAAAACTGAAACTGGACCCCTTCTTTAGACCTTATAAAAATTTACTCAAGATGGATTAAAGACTTCACAGAACTAGGAAAAACTCTTTCAAAATTCTGATGGAACCAAAAAAGAGCCCAAGTAGCCAAGGCAATCCTAAGCAGAAAGAACAAAGCTAGAGGCAGCATGCTACTCAACAACAAACTAAACTACTGAGCTACGGTAATCAAAACAGCATGGTACTGGTACCAGAACAGACACATAGACCAATGTAATGGAATTGATAACCCAGGAAAAGACCACACATTGACAACTACCCAATTTTTGACAAACCTTACAAAAACAAGCAGTGAAAAAAGGATTCCCCATTCAATAAATGGTGCAGCGATAACTGGCTAGCCACATACAGAAGACTGAAACACTAGACTGCCAAGACCAGCTTGGTTTGGGAGACCCTAACCCAGCGGTGCTAGAGGAATTAAAGACACACACACAGAAATATAGAGGTGTGAAGTGGGAAACCAGGGGTCTCACAGCCTTCAGAGCTGAGAGCCCCGAACAGAGATTTACCTACGTATTTATTAACAGCAAGCCAGTCATTAGCATTGTTTCTATAGATATTAAATTAACTAAAAGTATCCCTTATGGGAAATGAAGGGATGGGCTGAATTAAAGGAATAGGTTGGGCTAGTTAACTGCAGCAAGAGCATGTCCTTAAGGCACAGATCGCTCATGCTATTGTTTGTGGCTTAAGAATGCCTTTAAGCTGTTTTCCACCCTGGGCGGGCCAGGTGTTCCTTGCCCTCATTCTGGTAAACCCACAACCTTCCAGAGTGGGTGTTATGGCCATCATGAACATGTCACAGTGCTGCAGAGATTTTGTTTATGGCCAGTTTTAGGGCCAGTTTATGGCCAGATTTTGGGGGGCCTGCTCCCAACACTAGACCTCTTCCTCACACAATATACAAAAATTAAGTCAAGATAAAGGCTAAAATGCAAAACCCGAAACTGTAAAAACCCTGGAAGACAACCTAGGCAATACCATTAGGGACATAGGCATGAGCAAATATTTCATGATGAAGATGCCAAGAGCAATTGTAACAATCAAAAATTGACAAATGGGATCTAATTAAAGAGCTTCTGTACAGCAAAAGAAACTATTAACAGAGTGAACAGAGGACGTACAGAATGGGAGAAAAATTTTGCAAATTATGCATCTGACAAAGGTCTAATATCCAGCAACTATAAGTAGCTTAAACAAACGCACAAGAAAAAACAACCCCATTAAAAATTAGGCAAAAGACATGAACAGCCACTTTTCAAAAAATGACATACATGCAGGCAACAATCATAGAAAAGAAAGCTCAGCATCACTGATCATTAGCAAAATGCAAATCAAAACCACAATGAGATACCAACAGCCAGAATGGCTACTATTAAGTCTAAAAATAACAGATCCTGGTGAGGCTATGGAAAAAAAGAAATGCTTATACACTCTTGATGGGACTGTAAATTAGTTCAGCCATTATGTAAAATAGTGTGGTGTTTACTCAAAGACCTGAAAAAAGAAATACCATTCGACCCACAATCTTATTACTGGGTATACACCCAAAGGAACATAAATTGTTCTGTCATAAAGACACATGCACACGTATGTTCATTGCAACACTATTCACAATAGCAATGACATGGAATCAACCTAAATACCCATCAATGATAGACTGGATAAAGAAAATGTGGTACGTATACATCATAGAATACTATGCAGCTACAAAAAAGAAAGAGATCATGTCCATTGCAGGAACATGGATGGAGCTGGAGTCCATCATCCTTAGCAAACCAACACAAGAACAGAAAAATCAAATACTGCATATTCTCACTTACAAATGGAAGCTAAATGATGAGAACACATGAACACACAGAGGTGAGCAACACATGCTGGGGCCAATTTAAGGGTTGGTGGTGGGTGGGAAGATGGAGATGATCATGAAAAATAACCTGGGAGGCGGAGCTTGCAGTGAGCTGAGATCACGCCACTGCACTCCAGCCTGGGGGACAGAACAAGACTCCATCTCAAAAAAAAAAAAAAAAAAAAAAAAAGAAAAATAAAATATGTACTCTCAACCTGTTAGTCATGAAACATGAAGGATCTAACTTCTCAATATTTTACAAGAAAACCTAGATCATCCCATTTTGCTAAATGTATTTATGACAGTGCTCTTTGACCTTTCATTCTTATATCTTTCATGTTTGTACACCAATATTTTCTTAAAACAAAAGTGTAGCTATGTTTACATTCTTACTATTTTAAAGTTATTTTTACTCTCTTTTTTCCTTCTACTTTTTTGTAAAATGAATGAAAACTATACAAACCTAAAAGGGGTTTATTGAACTCAAAGGGTAAATGCAATGACCGCATTATTGATTTGCTGTGCGTTCAGCAAACATTGCAAGCTAGTTGGTAGCCACATTTTTTAGAGTCAAAATGAGGGTCATCATCATCTAATTGTTTGAACCAGGAATGGATAACTGATAGTTTTTCTCAATGTATACCCCTAGTTTATTGAGAGGTTTTAACATAAAGGAATTTTATTGAAGACTTTTTCTGCATCTATTGAGATAATCATGTGGTTTTTTTCTTTAGATCTGTTTATGTGATGAATCACATTTATTGATTTACATGTGTTGAACCAATCTTGCATGCCGGGGATGAAGCCTACTTGATCATGGTGGATAAGCTTTTTGATGTGCTGCTAGATTTGGTTTGCCAGTATTTTGTTGAGGAGTTTTGGATCAATGTTCATCAAGTTTTTTTGTTGTTGTTGTTGTTATATCTCTGCCGGTATCAGGATGATACTGGAACATATCCCAAAATAATAAAAGCCATATATGACAAACTCACAGCCAATATCATATTGCATGGGTAAAAGCTAGAAGCATTCCCCTTGACAACTGGCACAAGACAAAGACGCCCTCTCTTACCACTCCTATTCAATATAATATTGGAAGTTCTGGCCAGGGAAATCAGGCAAGAGAAATAAAGGGTATTCAAATAGGAAGAGAGGAAGTCAAATTGTCTTTGTTTGCAGATGACATGATCCTATATCTAGAAAACCATATCGTCTCAGCCCCAAAGCTCTTTCAGCTAATAAGCAACTTCAGGATAGTCTCAGGATACAAAATCAACGTGCAAAAATCACTAGCATTCCTGTACACCAACAATAGACAAGAGGAAAGCCAAATCATAAATTAACTCTCATTCACAATTGCCACAAAAAGAACAAAATACCTAGGAATACAGCTAACAAGGGAAGTGAAACACCTCTTCAAGAAGAGCTACAAACCACTGCTCAGAAAAATCAGAGAGGACACAAACAAGTGGTAAAACATTCCATGCTCGCAGATAGGAAGAATCAATATCATGAAAATGGCCATATTGCCCAAAATAATTTATAGATTCAGTGCTATTTCAATTAAACTAACATTGACATTCTTCAAAATATTAGAACTATTTTAAAATTTATATGGAACAAGAAAAGAACCTGAATAGCCAAGACAATTCTAAGCAGAAAGAACAAAGCTAGAGGCATCACACTACCCAACTTCAAACTATGCTACAAGGCTAGCGTAACCAAAACAGCATGTACTGCTAAAGAGCAAAGACGCATAGACCAATGTAACAGAACAGAGAACTCAGAAATAAGACCGCACACCTTCAACCACCTGATCTTTGACAAACCTGACAAAAACAAACAATGGGGAAAGGATTTCCTGTTTAATAAATGGTTTTGGAGGAACTAGCTAGCCATATGTAGAAACTGAAATTGGATCCCTTCCTTACACCACACACAAAAATCAACTGGAGATGGCTTAAAGGCTTAAATGTAAAACCCCAAACTATAAAACCCTGGAAGAAAATCTCCACAATATCATTCAGGATAAAGCATAAGCAAAGATTTCATGACAAAGATACCAAAAGCAATTGCAACAAAAGCAAAAATTGACAATTGGAGTCTAATTAAACTAAAGAGCTTCTGCACAGCAAAGGAAATTATCAGAGTGATCAGACATCCTACAGAATGGGAGAAAATTATTTCAGTCTATCGATCTGACAAAGGTCTGATATCCAGCATCTACAATGTATTTAAACAAATTTATAAGAAAAAAAAAACCAGTAGAAAGTGGGAAAAGAACATGAACAGATACTTCTCAAAAGAAGACATGCATGCAGCCAGCAAACACTGAGAAATGTTCAACATCACTGATCATTAGAGAAATGCAAATCAAAACCACAACGAGATACCATCTCACACCAGTCAGATGGCTACTATTAAAAAATCAAATAACCACTAATGATGGTGAGGTTGTGGAGAAAACAAAACAAAACAAAACACTTTTACACTGTTGGTGGAAGTATAAATAAGTTCATCCATTGTGGAAGACAGTGTGTGTTGATTCCTCAAAGACCAAGAGGCAAAAATACCATTTTACCCAACAATCCCATTACTGGGTATATATCCAAAGGAATATAAAACATTCTACTATAAATGTGCATGCACTCATATGTTCATTGCAGCACCGTTCACAATAGGAAAGACATGGAATAAATGTCCATCAATGATAAACTGGATAAAGATGATGTGGTACATACACACCATGGAATACTATGCAGCCATAAAGGGAGCAAGATCATGTCCTCCGTAGGGACACAGATGGAACTGAAGGCCATGATCCTCAGAAAACTAACCCAGGAACAGAAAAGCAAATATTGCATTTTCTCACTTATAAGTGGGAGCTAAACAATGAGAACACATGGAGAAGAACAACACACATTAAGGCCTAAGGGTGGTTGGGGGAGGAGGGAGAGCATCGGGAAGAATAGTTAATGGATGCTGGGCTTAATACCTAGGTGATGGGATGATCTGTGCAGCAAACCACCATGGTACACGTTTACTTATGTAACAAACCTGCACATCCTGCGTATGTACCCCTGAACTTCAAATAAAATAGAAAAAAAATTGATATCCCTTTGGTATAATGGCAAAAGTTAGGTAGTTTGTCTTTGCTTCTGTTAGTGAAGTGATGTGAAATTTCCAAGTTATCTCCAAGCACCCACTGTTGAAAAGAATGAGAGATGGGAAATTCTACATCTGAGGCTGCTGACTAAATGCCATTTTAAAACAGAGGTCTGTTCAAGTGTTTTTATTTTAAAAGGAAAATAGAAAAAAAATTCGACATATGTATTCTACATCTATGTGTAAAATAGATGTAGAATTATATAGAATTATATAATCATAATTCTATAATTTTGAATTATATGTGGAGATATATATATATAGATATATAGATATATATAATACAAAGGAAAAGCAAAACAAAACCAGGCAGAAAAGAATAATGAAAAGAGGTGAGGAGGTTCAGACAAAAAGACAGGGCTAAAGAATGAAAAGGAGTTTTAGAGAGACTATCCAATTCAAACAATTCATCATTCATGCATGAATCAGTCACATATTTTCTCAGCATCTAAATGTGCCAAGAAGTATGTTGCGACTATGAAGACAGAATCCTGTTTTCCAAGGATTCATAGTGGAGTGGGCAAGACTAACAACTTTTTTTGGCTTTTCTGTTACAGTATGTCTTCAGCACCCTAGGAAACTGCATTTTGACTTATTCAGGTGAATTAAAAGTTATGCTGCCAATATGAATGCAGTGACACATGGGATGAGTAGAGAAGAAATAAAAAGTATAATGGAAAGTCAAAAGTGAAAAAGTAGAATTCTGCAAATCATCCCATTAAAATGTATAGTACCATTATAAATATAAGTATAAAATAGGAGAAAGAGAAGGAAGACATTAATCATGCTTGATCAAGGTCTTAAAGAAGTTAGTCAAAGTAGCCTTCAGATAAGAGACGACATATGTATTATCTTTCTATAGGTATAGAATCTGCAGGTGGATCAGAAGGAAAAGGATCTTCTAGAGAGAAAAATACATTTATAGAACTTGGGAAGAAAAAATAACCTGTTGATGTATTCAGGAAGTATAAAATCACCTGATTTGTGTAGTACCTAAAGTACATGGGGTATAGAATTTTGGTTGCAGATAACACTACCAAGAAAATGGACACACTAGGAAGTATCTGCACAGGAATTTATATAATACTCAAAGAGCAATAGGAAACTATTTAAGCAAAGAGTGATGTTAATGCTCTGTGAACCTCAACTTTCTCATTTACCAAATAGAGGTAAAGTACAATTTATTTCTACAACTGATCACATTTTGTTTTGAATTCCATGTTTTTCCTGATGACAAACGGGGTGAGAATGCAAGGAAAGTAAACTTAACCTGGACAATTAAAAGAAGACTGATCTGTAAAGATTTAAAAAAAGACTTTTTTCATGTTGATTTTTCAGTCAGTTCAAAGCTCAAATTCAAAACTATGGTACACATAGAAATAGGGTTCTTATCTTTTTGTATGGAACTTAGCAGCCAGATTTCTTTATAGACAGTCTGTGTTCTTGGGGGCTAGCAAGGTCAGTGGTTCCCGAAGTTTTTATCTCAAAATCCCTTACACATTGGAAACTATTAAGAAATGCAGGGTAGGAATGGTGGCTCACACCTGTAATCCCAGCACTTTGGGAGGCCAATTCAGGAGGATTGTTTGAGCCCAGGTGTTTGAGATCAGTCTGGGCAACATAAGGAGACCCCCCCAACTCTACACAAAATAAACAACTAGCCAGGCATGGTAGTTGTATGACTGTGGTTCCAGCTGCTTGGGAGGCTGAGGTAGGAGGATCACTTGGGCCCAGGAGGTGGAGGCTACAGACGCTGCAGTGAGCCATGATCATGCCAGCCAGTGTGACAAAGTGAAACCCTGTCTCAAAAATAATAATAATAATAATAACCCAAAATGTTTATGTGGGTTATAATGTTTATATATTTATATGGGGTATCTATTGATGTCTTTCTCTATATATATTATGAAGTTAAAACAATTTTAAATTCACATTAATTTCGATAAAAACTCATTTTTTTGTAAAGAAATGTGTTAATAATTGCATTTTCCAAAATATAAAAGTGATATGAGCAGCATTAGTTTACATTTTGCAAATCTGCTTAATGTCTATGTATCTGGCTTAATAAAAGGTAGTTGTATTCTCATAAACACTTCTGCATTCAGTTTGCTGAGTTTGTTTGTTTGTTTTTTAAGACGGAGTCTCACTCTGTCACCCAGACTGGAATGCAATGGCACGGTCTCAGCTCACTGCAACCTCCACCTCCTGGGTTCAAGCAATTCTCCCGCCTTAGCCTCCCGAATAGCTGGGACTACAGGTTCATGCCACTACATCTGGCTAATTTTTGTATTTTTAGTAGAGGCAGGGTTTCACTATGTTGGCCAGGCTGGTCTTCAACTCCTGACCTCGTGATCTGCCCACCTCGGCCTTCCAAAGTGCTGGGATTACAGGCATGAGCCACCGTACCAAGCCTTGTTGAGATATTTTTAGTTGAAATATTTTGTAGGAAAGGGATAAAGTAGCCTAACAGTCTTTTCACATCATTATGGCTGTTCTTTAATGCTACAACAAAAAACTCAGTAAGTGAGAGCTTTTTAAAAGTAAATAGTACCTGAAAACCTGAAACCGTATCAATAAATTTTTGTAGTTTTGGACTCGTAATCTGAAGAGATTTTCCGCTCATGTGTGACTTTGTAGTAGCTTTTGAGAAATATTGGTTGAATGAGTTACTGCAGATCTTCCATATGTTGACACATTTCATTATATAATGTCAAAAACATATTAATATCACCACTGATCTCTTGAGAAATGTCTGTCAAGCTTAAGGTAGCAAATAAAAACGTTTCAAATGTATTCATTTTCTATTGTTGCTATAAAATTTATCAAAACTTAACATCTCAAAACAGCACACATTTATAATCTCACATTTGCATAATTCAGAAGTCCAGCTGGCCTCAGCTGTTCTTCTGCTCTGAGTCTCACAAGGTTGAAATCAAGGTACTGGCCAGCCTGTAGGCTCTGGTGAAGAACCTGGTTCCAGGCTCATTCAGGTTGTTAATAGAATTAAGTTCCATATGGTTATTGGTCTGTGGTCCCCATTTCCTGATAGCATGTCATCCGGGGAAGCTCTCAGCTCCTTAAGGACACCTGTATTGCACGTCATAATATTCTCTTCATCTTCAAACTTGGAACAGCATGTTGAGTCCTTCTTATACTTTCAGTTTCTCTGAATTCCTCTTATGGCTCATCTCTTTGCTTCCAGATAAAAGATTCCTGCTTATTTATTTATTTATTTATTTATTTATTTATTTATTTATTAGTTTGTGTGATTAGATTGATCCTGCTGGGAAAACCCAGTATAATCTCCCTATCTTAAGGTTTGGAACCTTAATTATATTTGTAAAGTCCATTTTGTCATGTATCATAATATACTCATGGGGCTTTGGGTATGAGTCTTGTAAGGGAAGGGGCATTCTTTTTTCTACTATGCAAAATTTATAATTTTTCCTTGAAAACACTTATTACTGGAAACAAATACAATCAGTTGTTTTTCTTTAAACGGCAGGCTCACTTTCAAGTCTTTACCTGAAACCCATGTCTGCATAACCACTGTATGTCAGTTGTTCTTCCAAGTAGAAAAGGTGATCCATGAAAACAGCTAGTTTAGTTCACAACTCAAAAATCACACACGTACTTTTCCTTAAGACAAACATCATACTTTGTCATGCATACTTCCATTTTATAACACAGCATTAAAAAGATATTCTCAAGGGTTGAGATTTTTAAAGTTACCATTGTTTTACTTCTTTATTGAGGAAATTCTTAAGTGAAATAGTTTTTTAATCCAAAATACTTGCCAGTGAAGAACATAATGACTATAGTGCAGTTCATTGCTCCTGCCTTGATCTGTGCTAAGGCATCAGCAATTTTGACCATTATTTTTTTTAATATCAATGCAAACATCATTAGTATCTTAGAATTACATAAACATAGTTTTGATATTAAAAACTGCCTAAAATAATCTCAGAGGTCTGCAGATTATGTTTTAATAATCACTTAGTTTCAAACCTCACTTTTGAGAACTCAAATGTCTGGCTGTAGCTTAGTATATTAAGCCTGAAATCAAAATGGCTCCATACATTAAAGTCTATTTCACATTCTTAAGAAATACACTCCTGGTATGGGTAGTTCACCTTGGCAGCTCTTCACCACATAGTGATGAAGTGTTCTTGGCTTGTATTGCGATTACATATTGTGGCATTGCTTATCATCTCCTAAGGCTCTGTAGGCTAACTGTGGTTGATTTATCACTTCAGGTCTACCACATAGTAGCAGCCAGAAATCCACTGGGGTTACAGATATCTAAAGGATTAACTGGGTTTGACATCAAGATGACTATCTCACATTAATGGATGAAGGCTATTGACTGGCAGCTCAGCTGGGTCTGTTGACCTTGGTGCCTGCATGTAGCCTCCCCATGTGTTTTAGGCTTCGCAAAACATTGAGTTTGGAGATATCCAAAGGCAGTGCCCAAGAACATGTGTTCTAAGAGACAGAAGAATTTGCCAGCCACTTAGGGCCTGGGCATGAAGACTGGCACCAGGTTATTCCCACCATACCATGTTGTTCAAAGCAATCATAGAATCTCCACATCATGATCATAGGAGTATCAGAAATTTTAACTATCTTTAAATTAGACTACTGCCTGATTAAATCTTAAGAAATTGCAATGTCCACTTTACTGTTCTATAGCTACTCACTGGGAGATAGTCATTCTAGCCTGGTCCTTGGATAATCTACTGCTAAAGCTGTTTATTGAGGTTTCAGAATTGTACCTGCTTTTGAAGTTCATAACTCCTGACAACCGTATTATTATGAAGTCTTAAATCCCCCTTGTCTCAAACACCAGCCCTATTCCTGCACCATTTGTCTCAGCAATTTAACTTCTTGCTTTTGGAATATTTGAGAACTTCTGAATCTTCTACAGGGTTAATTCTAGCTACATATATCATAAGATATATCTTAGACCCTGTCTACCAACATCCTCTGCCAAATGTTCTATCACTTTTAAAACTTTTGAGACATGGTGCTTCTTTAATGAGCTGCTAATTTTCTTAGGTTCTATATTGGGAAAAATAGGACAAGTCCTTCTCTTCTGGAATTTCCCTCACCCCGAAATCTTACTGAATATTTCTGCCACCTCTAATGTTGAGGGGTAGGAGACATGCAGGAGTACATGCCGAAGTTTAATTTCTCTCACTTTTTCCTTGGCTTCCCCTCTCATCTCCAGAAGGCCTTTCTACTTCCCCTTCCTGTTTGTTGGGAGTATCCCACAAATCCATTCCTCTATGTTATACCTAATAGTAAAAATAATTCAGTTTTATTAGAGCTAATTTTTTATATGTAAAAGGAAATATTGATAAATTAGAAAAAACACTTTTCTTTCTCAACAAAGTCTAAGTTTCAGAATATCTTCTCACTATGGATAAAATTCAGCTCTATTTGTTCTAGTTGACAAACTATCATGTGCAGGCCAAATCAAGCCTATTTTTGTAGAGTCCATGAGCTCATAATAGATTATACATTTTAAAAAGTATTGTTAAATAAAACAAATGAACAAGCAAATCAAAAACCAAAGAAGAATATGAGACAAAGATGATATTCGGCACACCAAGATGAAAATGTTTACTATGGTCAGCTACAGAAAATAGCTTGCGAATCCTTATTCTATATGGTATCTTCTTTCCTCCAGAAGTGATTGATGCTTTTGCTTAAAGGCTTGGTGAGACGCAGTGAAACTTGCTACTTCAGTTTAACTATATTAGTTTAACATTTTTTTAAATCCCAATTGTATGTGTAAGAAGAGGTTTATTTCAATATCTAACAAATATTTACTGTTCAATAAATGTTAATTTTCTTTCCATTCCTCTTCTCCTCAATAACGATAAAAAAAGAATAAAGGTATGTGATTTAACCAGAAAAATTAAACATTGGTATTTTAGATATTTAAAAGGCATTTAATTATTTAAATGGAATTAAAATTACTAAAAGGAATTTGGGACAAAGGAGAATGTGGTAAATTTGTTTGCAGACAAGTTGAGCTTGCTGTGTCCTTGTAAAGGTGCCAGGGAGTTATTTGGAAATATGATTGTAATTTGAAGAAATGATTGGGTGTTGAATAGACAAATAGGCTTATCATTCGGGAAAATATGTGACAAGCGGAATCACTAAAATATAGAGGTATATTCTGGAAAAGAAATCAGAAATGAATAAATCCGAATGCTGGAGACCATCAGCAATATAAGAGTGAAGAGAAAGAGTCAGAGGATGGTCAGCCAGAGGCAGCAACAAAACTAACAACAAGTGTTTCTGGATGTTAGGGGAATAATTGATGAGAAAGCTCACCAAAAGAAGTTAAGCAGTTTCCCCAAGATTTCCCAGCCAGATAATCAGAGTCTGTATTTCAAATATCAAAACTAATACTTTCGGGCGGGGAGGGAAGGGAAGGGCAAGGGAAGGGAGAGAGAAGGGAAGGGAGAGGGAAGGGAAGCGGAAAAAAGAGAAAAAAAATGAAAGAAAAGGAAAGGGAAGGGAAGGGAAGGAAAAAGGGGAGGAAAGGAAAGGAAAAAGGAAAGGGAAAAGGAATAGAAAAAGATGTCCACAGACCCTGTCTCGAAAAAAAAAAAAAAAAAGAGAGAGAGAGAAAAGAAAAGAAAGACTAAAGGAAAGGAAAAGAAAAGAAAAGGGGTGCCCACCACAGGTCTGGTTCATTTCTAGTCTCTAGGGGAAAACATTTTCTTGCTTTTTCAACTTCTAGAGACTGCTTGCATTCCTTGGCTCACTTCCATTTTCAAAGCCAGTGGATCCAGTTGAGTCTCACAGGGCATCGCTCGGACATTGACAATTCTGATTCCCTCTTCCATGGTTTCGGGAGACTTGTGATTACATTGGGTTCATCCAGATTATCAAAAATAATCTTCCTATTTTAAGGTCAGCTGATTAGCAATCTTAATTCCATCAGAAACCTTAATTCTCTTTTGCCATATAACCTGACATATTCACAGGATCACAGGATAAGGATGTGGACATCTTTGGGGCCAACTATTCTTTCTACCACATTACTCCACTACAAATTGTCATCCACTCCTTAACCATTCCATCTCAAAACCCAAGAGCCAATTTTGTTTTAAATTCTAGCTGCTTCTTTTATTCATTAATTCTGAATTTAACTTATAGAGAGAGTAACTTCAGGTTTCAAGGTATGATTTTTATTTTTTTAAAAATGAATAAGCTATGTCTGCTTGATTTAATATGCTTCTTGTTTTTCTTACTTTATCTTTAGCCTGAACTAAAATTACTGTTCTTCCTCAAATATTCTTTACCTTTTATTACCATTTCCTTTTATTTTATACACACCTTGCCACCTGAATTTTTCTGCACACTCAGCCCAGCGACATATTCTTAAGTACTTTGCACTTCAACATTTACGGTGTACCCTACAAAAGGTTTACACTCTGTGTGCACACTGCACATGAGCTGTCTAAACTGAGACAGACCTTACTGCTTTTCAGACGTTCCTGCCAATAGTTCTTCTTTTAAATGTGTATATGAACTCAAACATCTCTTTTCTTTCTTAATGTTTCCTATGTCCAGATACCTTTCCCAGTAGCTTGTTCCTAACTTACAGGGGAGCAGTAAAGTTGGAAACACCATTTTTTCATGCTACTTTCCTGTTGGGGTCTGTAAAGAGGTTTTCCTTAACTTTGCAAACAGAGCCGACACTGAATCTCCTAAGTCCAAGCCCATACTTCATTATCAGGAGCCACTCTGCCTATCAGTTATCTTTGTGACTCCTACAGAGTTGCATTCTACTACAGATAACCCATATCGACAACTTCTGATCATATTGTGCTCGTTTCAACACTTAAGGCTTTCCTTTCTCCTCTAATTCCTTGCCTGCTGGGGCTTTACTACGTCTCTGCTCTTGTCACAAGAACAAGAACAAGAAGTGATATCAATCACACCTTGGTACTTCATACCCAGGATATTTTTCACTCAGTGATGTACTTTTTACTTTTAAACTTTCCATAGAACTCATTGTCATAAAAGTTGTCATTTATAGTCATTACCCTCCAGCACATTACATGATACCAGTGGTAAGAAAACAAGCCATAACAAACCATACATTTAAAACAGCCTGTCAGTGGTCAGTGGTTAGGAGCAGAGAAGAGGAAGACACTATATATGTGCATAACAAATACAGTCGTACTCCAATTTCAGGAAATGTTTGAAAACTAGAATGAAATAGTACTTTGCAATGAATTTTATTATTTGATCTTCTAATCATTAAATATATATAATTTTAGGCATATAAACTATATATTTGACTTTGGCTTTTCCAAAGGTAGGTCATGCCTTTATACCTATGCTAAATTTGAACTTTTACACATGTTCAACGCCTACTAATTTCCAATCATATATTCAATTTAGTTGACTAGAACTGAACAGTTTATTGGAAGTTTTCCAAAGTTAGTACTCATGGTAGAACAACAATGTTCTAAAATAATACAAAATTTAAACTTCAGGCACATCACAGCCAAACCATATTTACATCCAAAAACAATTTTTACTGATAAACAACTCCTAGCCAAAAGCAATTTACATCCCAAAGTACTTTCTACTGATGAGACAGTTAAAAACTGTAATGAAATTTTGCCACCTTAGTAGAAAAAAAATAAGGCACTAATGAACACAGAGAAAACAAATTGAATTAACAAAGCCAATGCCTATTTTAATAAAATGACAAGCAAGACAGGCAGCAAAAAGTATCAATTCCAATATCTAAATTAGAGTGTACAGAGTAAGTGAGCCATTCAATCTTCTTTATGGCTCTGTGGCCCAGTTTTACCAATGATGTCATGCTTTTATTGAAAAAAAGTCAATCGCCATCTCATGTGCTTAATTCTCAGAACCAAATGACTTGAGAACATTTCCAACTCTGAGGTTTTAGACCACTGTTGATCTTACTAAATCTTAAAGAAAAGCGATAAATGCAATCACATAAAGGAGGAACACGAAAGGCAGCAAGAGGTTCTCTTCGGAACTACACTTTGTGCTTCTAACTTTTACTTCTTCCAAGTACAGATTAAGCATTCCTCATCCAAAAATCTGAAATACTCCAAAATCTCAAACTTTTTGAGCACCAACAGGATGCTCAAAGGGAATACTCACTTAATATTTTGAATCAGTACATATCCTGAAATTTAAAAAAAAAATTGAAATCCAACATATTTCTGGTCCCAAGCATTTTGAATAAGGAACACTCAACCTTACCAACCTGTACCAAAAATGTAGGAGTGCTCAACCTGCATCAACAATGGCAGCATTTCAAAGCACTGAGGGCTTGGTGTGAAATAACACACTCTCCAGAAGAATAATCTTATATGCTAACTTGTGAGAATTAAAAATGCCATAGTGTGTCATGTTGCAGTCTCAGTCATTGAGGAAGTGAAGTAATAATGCTATAAGCAACAATGTTTCTCAGCCTGAGATTTAAAAAACAAAAAACAAACTCAAAGGAAGATGTTTTATTTGTAATAATTCTTCCGATGTTAAGTGTGTGCATAAGAAATATACAAATGAGGCACCGGCAAGCATATCAGTTTTCTAAGGATGAGATTTCTACAATCCTGCACACTGCAAAAATTCTTAAGCATACACACAGAGTCTATGTGAGATAATTAAAACAAGAGTTCATACATGTATTGTATAAACATCATTATTTCAGAGAAATTTTATGATGGTTGACACCCTGGTTTCTAGTAACCAGGGTTACTGGAAAAGGGAGGAAGGGAAAACTGCCATCTAGGGATCACCTCAAATTCTATACTGTGCTGACGGATTCCAACAGTACATGGAACCGAATATCTCTACTATGTACAGCCATGATAGATTGAAAGTGATTTCTCACTTAATCGGAGATCACCTGAAATAATGTTTTTCTGGCTTTTTTTTTTTTTTTTTTTGGCCAAAATAACCTATCTTTGTTTCTTGATTCAAGCCAACTGGCTAGTGCCAGACTTGCTGGCCCCCACTTATGTTAAATAGGGTAAAATTGAAGACAACTGAGTAAGAAAAAAGGCTGCTAGAAGTTAGAGTATGTCAATAAATTTGTCCAAAGAAATTTGTCCAAAGAAAGTTTACCTGGCTACCTCTAATTTTCAAGATAAGTTAAAAGAAGAAAGTCTGCTTTAGCAGTGACACTTCAAAAAACACTAAGATAGCTTTAGATTTTTAAACCTTGATAAGCTTATTTAATTCTTTTGGTCTCTGCTTATTGCTACTAGTGAAATCCCTCAAAAAAAGAAACAACAACAAACTCCAAAACTATGTTTATTCTTACTTAGCTACTTTTTGAGAAGGAGAAGATTTTACACCATTTGGTACTAGACCCTGCAAGTAAAAGCAATGAAATAAAAAATGAGATAAATAGTTGTTCTATAGCAAGAGGCTAAAATATATGAGTAATTCCTGTGGTAGAAAACAAAAGAGACTAAGTAGTACCTGAAGAAGCCACCTCTATAGTCAGAAGTAATTTTGGAGGAATATTTTCAGGAAGACATCTCTTAGATAAATCCAGACACATCTCAATATAGCTTTAAAAGGTGGAGAGGTCGTGAAGATCACAAGAAGAAAGCTGAAGCAAGAGCCCCTGAAGTGTCACATGCTGCTGGCTCCTGCCCATCCTTCTCAGGGGAACAGACAACACAGTTCTTAAGGGGCAGTCACATCAGTGCAAACCTCAGTATTGGATTTTTAAAACATTGATTCCAAGGCCGCAACCTAAATATACCTATGGGGAAGAGACTCAGCAATCTCTATGTTGGTAATCAGCTAGTTTTGAAACCCTTATTTTATATGTAATCAACTCTCAATTACTTGGACTAGTATTTCTCATTCTTGGCTGTACATTAAGATCATCTGGGACCTTTTAAAATGTCCAAATGCCCGGGGCCTACCATAAACAGCTTAAATCAGAAAACCTGGTAGTAGAACCCAGGAATTCGTGTTTCAGTGTTTAAACGCAAAACAAAATGTGGTGAAACAAAATACATCTCAGGTGATTTAATCCAGCCAGGGTTTGAGAATTTCAAAAAGAAAAGGAAAAGGGAAGAGAGGAGGGAGAAAATAAACTGATATTGATAAATGTGAGATGCTATAGATTATAATTTATATCCCAATTTCGAAACTAAAAGAAATTTATTAAATGTACCTTTAAATTTTTTTCATGCATTATATTTATATATATTTATGGGGCTCGTGTGAAAACTTTTTAGATACACAGAATGTGTTATAATCAAATCAGGATATTTAAGGTATTCGTCACCCAAGTATTAAATAAATGTTTTTAAAAAGAATGTCTTACAGTTAATAAAATATAATTATGGTGTTAGATCCAATTTTAAGGTATTCATCACCCAAGTATTAAATGTTTTTAAAAAGAATGTCTTACAATAAAATTATGGTGTTAGATCCAATTTTATGTTTTTTTTAGCACTGTATATCATTTAAAATTATTGCATACAAGATTTTTATACCCCTTAAAATGTAGTATTATGTATAATATTTATATTATACTTTTGGGAGAGAAAAATCAAGAAGTAAAAGAATTTGGAGCTGTCACAAGAAATATTATAATCTATTTTTGCCTCAACTAGTAAATCAAAAATGAGATTTTCTGAGTTGAAAGCCTATGAAAATAATATTACATTTAGTAAACTGTTGTAAACTATTGAGAAAAAAATTGAGCTCTCAACATCCATTGAGACTTCAAATCTGTCCCTAACCAACCAAGATGATAACTCTACTACCTACACATGTCACGTCTATTCACCTAGATGATTCTAACATTTCCCCAGTTGACTAAACTTTAGACAGGCTTCTTCCTGACTATAGGCCCCTAACTTCCCTTTTATTAGAGCATTTACTTTAGAAAACTTGCAGCTGTAAATTCTTTTTCTTCCTCTTTAAGATGTTAATCTTCTACAACCAAGGAATGTCTTTCCCAAGGACCTGGGAGCCATCCCTTTGAAATGTAATCATCAATAAAAATGGTGCCCTAGTCACAGTCTATGGCAGGATCCGTGCCTAACTTCCATAAGCACCAATTAGCAAACACAGATGGCCTAATCACATTGACCAACCTCTTTATTAACTTTTTCCAGTACTTTTCCACTAGCTAACCCCAGTGCTTTAAAAAATCTCTTGCCTTTTGTTTGAGAATTTGAGTTGAATTGCTCTCCTATTGCAATAGTTTTAAACCCTATTGAAATACTCTAGAATAAAATTGTTCTTGCCCATTTAATTCTAATAGATGCAATTTTTCTTTTACACCACTTCTTTTCAGTGTAAAGAGACTCTTGAAATGTTCATCATGTCTATGTATCCTAGAATAGGCTCAACACTCAAGAAACTATCACCCATAAAGGTAAAACCTAGAAGACATTGCATTGTTCTCTGTACCTATTTCCATCTGTTGCTCTCTATTAACTTGTTATGTGAACTCTTTGAGACATTAGGTTAATTCCTTATACGTGCAGAATCAAATGTTATGAAATGAACTGTTTAGTATGACAATTTTCCTTTTAATTCAACATCTTTGCATGAAAAAAAAATTTACAGAGCAGGGATACAATTTCCTTCTCCAGAGTGTGATAACACAAATGTTAATAAACCATTCTTAGTTCAGAGAGGAGAAAAGCCTCCCTTCTCCCTGTCACTTCTCCCACTTGCACCTCTCTCCTCCGTAATCTATTACAGAGCTATCTTCCCGTTAATAACACAAAGTGAAATAAACAAATTCTATAATTAAAAGGTATTCCAAAATATATAGCAATAATTATAAATAATCAGAACACCAAGCAAAAGCTAATATTCTTCGGTAATTATGAGGTACTTGGCTATAGAGTTTTATTTCTCTGGTTAACTTTATATATTTAAATACAAACAACTTTGAGTTAAAATCTGTTTATGAAGTATATTTCCTTGAAAAGTTTTGCTTTTTTCCCTTCATCAAGAAGGAGGTAACATTTGATCCTTGTTTCATTGCGTTGTGCACTTAATAAATTTTGCGGTTCAAACCTTTTCCTAAGTAACTTTGGAAATGTGTATTTTAGAAAAAAATACATACACCAAATTTTATATTTATTACTGTGTAAAGAATATTCTCTCTTATCACTGTAAAACAAAATGAAACAAAAAAACTGAGTTGTAAACTCTGAAATGCAGATTTTATGATAATGTTTATTTTTTGAAAACTAAATGGGGCTCATAGGTATGTTATTTTTTCTAGAGTTTTTCTGCTTTGCCCTAAAAATAATTTCTGGTATAAATCCATACCAAGACCTTAGAGGGAATAAAAATACTCCTGAAATGCCCAATAAAATTTAATGACACCCTAGAATGTCTCCAGATAACAAGGCAATTACAAATGCACACAGTCTCCATGACTCCATTTCTAAGGGATTATGTAGTACATGTCTGTCATTCCTAAGCAGAAAAATAGTAACGCCGATGGGATGCTAGAATATATACACATAGTTATGAGGATAATCATCCTTGCCCTCAGGAAATACAGATATTAAGCAAACATAAATAAATATGCAATTACTAACTCTGGTAAGTGCTGAGCCTAACTCCAAACTACAGGAAAACTCCCAGGAATTTCATCTTCTGCTGTTATTCTAGATAAACTGAGAATTGCATGCAAACAAATGAAACAAGCCTCTGCTGCGCATGGTATTCAAAGTATATATAATGTCTATTTCCTCTTGACAAGTAGGTTAAATATGCCACACGTGATATTAGAAAGAATGGGATGAATATAAAGCTGCTAATAATCTCTATATTTGCCCATATATATTTTCAGAAAGTCTACTCTTTAATTACAAAGGACTATATAGCTCTTATTGTGGAATTCTTCTGTCATGTAACTATGGAAATGAATTTAGATAGCTAATTTTTTTATATCATAGGGTGAAAATTCTCTCAATAATCAGTCGCATTCATTTTTGCACCGAATAAATATTTATCAATGTTCCCTTTGTGTCAGGTGATATTCCTGAGATTGGAGAACGAAACAGTAGCCTTGCCTTGTCAGGGATACCGATTAGTTGTAAAGATAGCTATTAAGCTAATATACGAACATATACTATATAGTTACAAACTATGGTAGGAAAAGAACAAGGCACTGAAAGAGGGAACGATTCAGAAAAACTCATTAATTTGGGGTGATGGTAATTTTAGCACAAAGAAATAGAAATTTAACAAGGTTCAACACTTGAGATTCTGCCCAAAGTTCTCTTAAACCAAAACTCTTGGTCAGCAATTATGCCATAACCAAAATGTCAGAATTCCTACCAAGGTCCTTGGTTTGCAGAGTATCATCTATATCAGGAATTTCCTTTTTAAAATATATTTTAATGTGGAGAACCTCAAATTTTTTGTTGTCACTAGGTCAAAAGACAAATGACAGTTCATGTGAGTCTTTGTAACACTAATTTTCCTAATAGAGAGGGTTCCTACAAATCCTTTTTTTTAATCAAAGCACCCTCTTTTCTTCCCTTGTTTAGTACTCTCCAGTGTCTATTGTTCCCATAGTTTTTGTCTACGTGTATTTAATATTTAGCTCCCACTTACAAAATAGAACATGCAGTATTTGGTTTCCTGTTCTTGCGTTAAGATAATGACCTTCATCCATGTTGCTACAAAGGACATATTTTAGTGAAGAAATACTTGAGACTGGGTAATTTATAAAGAAAAGAGGTTTAGTTGACTCACAGTTCTGCATTACTTAGGGGGCCTCAGAAAACCTATAATCATGATGGAAGGCAAAGGAGAAGCAGGCACCTTCTTCACAGGGTGGCAGGATGGAGTGAGTGCAAGCAGGGGAAATACCTGATGCTTATAAAACCATCAAATCTAGGGAGACTCACTCATTAGCACCAGAACAGCATGTGGAAAGCCACACCCATGAATCAATTATCTCCACCTGGTCCCACCTTTGACACGTGGGGATTATAGGCATTAGAATTCAAAGTGGGATTTGGGTGGGGGCACAGAGCCAAGCCATATCAAGACATAATTTTCTTAATTTTTTATGGCTGCATAGTATTCCATGGTGTGTATGTAGCACATTTTCTTTTTCAGTCCACCATTGATAAACACCTAAACTGATTTCATGTCTTTGCTACTGGGATTAATGTTTTGAGTATGCAAGTGCTTGTGTCTTTTTGGTAGAATGATTTTTCTTTTGGATGTATAACTAGTAATGGGATTGCTGGGTCAAAATGGTAGTTCTCTTTTAAGTTTTTTGAGAAATCTCCAAACTGCTTTCCACACTGGCTGAATTAGTTTGCATTCCCATCAACAACGTATAAGTGTTCCCTTTTCTCCACAGCCTCGTGAGCATCTGTTTTTACTTTTTAATAATCGCCATTCTGACTGGTGTAAGATGGTATCTCATTGTGGTTTCGATTTTCATTTCTCTGATTATTAGTAATGTTGAGCATTTTTCATGTTTGTGGGCTGCTTATACATCTTCTTTTGAGAAGTGTCTGTTCATGTCATTTGTCAATTTTGTTAGTGTTTTTAGGACTATTTGGTTTCTGTTTGTTGATTTAAGTATCTTACAGGTTCTAGATATTTAGACCTTTGTCAAATGCATAATTCACTAATATTTTCTCCCATTCTGTAGGCTGTCTGTTTACTCTGTTGGTAATTCCTTTTGCTGTACAGAAGCACTTTAGTTTAATTAGGTCTCACTTGACAATTTCTGTTTTATTGCAATTGCTTTTGAGTACTTAGTCATAAATTCTTTGCCAAAGCCAATGTAAAGAAAGTTATTTCCTAGGTTTTCTTCTAGGAATTTTATTGTTTGAGGTCTTAGATTTAAATATTTAATCCATCTTCAGTTGATTTTTGTATATGGTGAGAGGTAGGGGTCCAGTTTTATTCTTCTGCATATGGCTAGCCAGTTATCCCAGCACCATTTATTGAATAGGGAGTCCTTTTTGCATTGCTAATTTTGGTTGATTTTGTTGAAATCAGATGGTTGTAGGTTTGTGTGTTTATTTCTGAGTTCTCTGTTCTGTTCCATTGGTCTATGTGTCGGTTTTTCCAACAGTGCCATGCTGTTTTGGTTACTGTAAGTTTACATTACACTTTGAAGTCAGATAATATGAGGTCTCTGACTTTGAGTTTTTTGTTTTTTGTTTTTTTTCCACTTGGGAGTGCTTTGGCTATTTGGGTTCTTTTTTTACTTATAAAATGAGTTTTAGAATAAATTTTTCCAAGACTGTGAAAAATGACTTTGGTATTCTGATTGGTGTAGTATTGAACCTGTAAATTGCTCTGGGCACTATGACCATTGTAATAATATTGGTTCAATGAGCATGAAACATTTTCCATTTATTTGTGTCATCTCATTTTTTTCATCATATTTTATAGTTCTCCTTGTAGAGATCTTTTACCTCTTGGGTAGATGAATTCTTAGGTATTTCATTTCTTTATGGCTACTATAAATGAGATTGTGTTCTTGATTTAGTTCCAGCTGAAATGTTATTGATATATAAAAATGCTACTGAGTTTTGTACATTGGTTTTGTATGCTGTAACTGTACTGAATTTGTCAGTTCCAGAAGGCTGTTGGCAGAGTCTTCATGGTTTTCTCTGTACAGCATGATATCATCAGCAAAGAGAGATAATTTGACTTATTGTCCTATTTGCATGTCTTTTATTCCTTTATCTTGCCTGATTGCTCTGCCTAGAACATTTAGTACTGTGTTGAATAGGAGTGGTGAGAGTAGGCATCCTTGTCTTGTTCCATTTCCAAAGGAAATTGTTCCAGCTTTGCTCAGTCAGTGTGAAGTCAGCTGAGGGTTTGTCATAGATGGCTCTTATTATCTGAGGTATGTTCCTTTGATGCCTAGTCTGTTGAGGGTTTTTTAATCTTGAATGATTGTTGGATTTTATTGAAGCCTTTTTCTTTGTCTATTGAGATGAATGCATCACCAATTTTCAACTTCTTTTCTGTCTTAGCACTCATGATGGATGATGTTGATTGCTAAGACATTTAGCTTTATTTCTACTAGCATTTGTTTACTTCTTCCCCTGCCTATTCTTTCATTCTCTTTTATAATTTCCTGCACTCTATTATATTGATTGAACTTTTTAATGCTTTTTCCCCTCTACTTGTTCAGAAGTTATATATGGTATCATTTTTATGGTTAACTTTAAATTTTAACATTTACACTTGACTTAACAAACCTAAAATCAATATCTTTCTTATGCAAAACCTTACAAGAAATTTAGAGCACTAAAAGTTTAATCACCATGACAGTATAACCACAGTAGGTACACTTCTTACACTCTACCTGTAATTACTCTCTCATTCAGAAAAGTTTATCAAATGAAAGGAAGAATAAGTGATATTGGAATAACTTATATTACACTGTAATTCCTAAAAAAAATTAAAAAGTATATTGAAAAATGCAAAAAAAAATTAGGTTAATATTATTACCTGTGGAAATGTATTCTGCCTTCACCTACTTTCACTGAATTCCTTAGGCAGATAATTTAGCAATTCATGTATACTAATGAAACTATTCTGGAGTCCAAGAAGACACCAACAGCTTTTGGCATAGAGAAAGAATTCAGACACGTATATGTTCAAGTGTTGATTCTAATACTTATTAGCTGTGTGACCTTCAGGTAATAATTTGAGCTTTCTGAGTTTTAGTTTCTATAATTTTACCTACCTTTCAAAGTAGGTATGAAAAAATGAAGCTGATGAAATTGATACAAAGGTTGTATATTAAAAACCTGGCACAATGTCTACCACAATGTAGACAATGAATGAAGCAGTTTTCAAGTTATTTTATGCAAAACAACATTACATACAATCAGTTTCTATCCTAAGTGAGCTGTGATGGCATACGATTTAAGCACTTGGAAGCACTTTCTGAAGAGTCAAAATAACAGTGTAATTCATAACAATTTTAAGATACTAGTCACATAAACCCTATTAAATGACATTGGAAAACAGTTAAAAAACTACGAATTATATTAGATGATACCTAAAGTACATTTTTTGACAAAAACCATTCTTTGAAATCTATCACTTTTAACTTACAATACTGTATCAATGCAGCAATTAAAAAAAATGAGATCATGTTTTTGCAGGGACATTGATGGAGATGGAGGCCAATATCCTAAGTGAACTCAACAGAAACAGAAAACCAAATACCACATATTCTCACTTATAACTAAGAGCTAAGTGATGAGAACACATGGACACACAAAGGGGAAAAACACACACCGGGGCCTTTCAGAGAGTGGAGGGTAGGAGGATGGAGAGGAGCAGGAAAAATAACTAATGGGTACTAGGCTTAATACCTGGGCAATGAAATAATCTGTACAACAAACACCCATGACACAAGTTTACCTATGTAACAAATCTGCACTTGTACCCCTGAACTTACAAGTTTAAAAAAAGGAAATTTACAATACTACTACCTTTATCAACAACTACATTTGCCATGCAAAACCCTGAAAGCTCCATACATTTAAATGTTGCCCATACATTAGGTGTTGACTTGGCTCATCTCAGACATAACTGAAGCATGGAAGACCTATAACTTATAGAATTAATCATGTAAACAAAATATATAGTTTATATATTTTCATTTTCAGATTTAAGTAACACCAACTAAAAGTTTTAAATAGAAAAAATAAATATGTCACATAGTAGATATATATGTATGCTATTGTATAAGAAAGCATAATATATCCAGATACTATCCAGTACATCAGATGCGGCAAGAGAAAAACAGATTTTTCCACATGTAACTGAATTTAAAAATGTAGATGATATAAGAATAAAATAGCCCATAAGGTGAAATTAGTAAAATCTGTGAAATATGCTTTGAGCATGCATCTTAGCATGCTTAAGAATCACTGACAAACACATTACCTCTGACTCCTTTAGTGCATGAGTTATTTAAATTATTCTGGAAAAAAAAAGACAATATGAGAAGTTTATAAAAAGGAATACATATATATTATTCTAGGGAAACCATCACAGAAGCAGACAAGATATATCTGAAGGCATATCATATCTGCATTTATTTCTGATAAAGAATTATTCAGATACCTAGCAATAGGGAAATGGTTGCATATAGGGGGATTGTTTACATATAGATAATAGGATTTTGTGAATATCATATTAGAAGAGTACCTCATAAAATAAAAATATACTGTCATTTTCATTCTTATACATTCCTCCATACATTCCACAGCCATTTGTTATACTTATTGAGTGTCCATTATATGCTAGGAACTATATAACTGAAGGACAGTACTGTAGAAAGTTAACTGTGCTGTTATCCTTTATACAAAAGAAGTAAAATTTTGATTCTCTCTCGCTTTTCCAGTATTTTCTGCTTTCTACAAGAAGGAATGAATTTTAGAACATTTTTCTTTTTAAGTTTTATAACCAGCAAAGTATTACTAGATATACATAGCTATTAAAAGTTAAAGCTTAGAGGTATTTGCATCAGTGCATTGTTTATAAGATCAACTACTCAATACGTAAATCAATAAGCACAAGCTGAGTTTTGTTTAGCTTTTCCTAGGGCTTTACTATTGCAGTGGAGTGTAACTAGAATTGTTTAAAACATTGATATAAAACCCTGAGTTTTAAGAGTAAAAAAAAATAGTCTTAAAAGATATATTTTAGCTTGCTGCCACACAATACAAACAAGAACTATAAAAATCTGAAAAGGAAACATACAGATTTATCTTGTAATGATCAGATGGCATCTGAAAAATATTCACAGTTTGGGGATTATCATTACAAATGAGAATCTGTACATTTCAAGTACGGTTAGTGGAGAAAGATAATAAGAATAGGTTTACATCATCACAGGGTCCTAGTATCGTCTATCGACAGGTAAACTCTAGGAACAGACAGCTTTAGTCTGAGAAAAGAACAAGACAAAAAAAAATTAAAGCGACATGTGCTGCTATCATTTAGCAAAATATACTAAAGAGCTGTCTCATAGAGGACAACAGAAGGTTGCAGGTTCAAAGGGGATATTTAATCAAAATAACTGGCAGTCCATAAAGATAGCAGGTAGGACTCTTAAGAGATGTTTTGTCAAAGTTCAAATGATTTTGGTCTCATTTAAAATGTGGTGCAACTTGAGGTTTGTCCAGCATGTCACAGAAAATGAGTCTATAAAGAAAGGCGATCTAGCCCTCTGCCATTTATCACAGCAACTTTGACTGCAAGCTGGTGTTTCCCAATGATGGTTTAGAAAAGGAATTTGAATGGCACCAGTGCAAAGTGCACAACCACTGAAAGATGGAGTAGAGCTCTGGGAAGCAAAAAATTTAAAAGACACTATGTCCAAACAGGGAATAGTTGTCACTGAAGATTTTTACACTGGGAAATGTCATGCTCAGATTTGGATTTTAGAAAGACTACTTTGACTGCAATGTAAAAAATGGATTGGAGTGGTGAACAAAGGAGGCAGAGAGACAGAAACAGGAGGCGATGACTGCCTAAACTACAGTTGGAATAGTGCAACTAGAAAGAAGTGGACAGAAGTGGGTGAGTTTAAGAATGTAAGAAAAGGAACTTTTGGTGATTAATTGAATTTGGAAATTATGAGATAGAGAGAAAGTAAACTTCATTCCTGTTTTTTTTTTTTTCTTGGACAATTAGATGGAGGATTGTGCCACTTACCTGAGGTTGTAAACAAAGTATTGAACAGGTTGGTAGGAAGTAGAGTATGATAGTTTCAACATGGGAAATGTAGACACAACCAACAGGTAGTTGAATACAAGGGTCTGGAACTCAGGAGAGAAATATGGCCCAAAGAGCAATTTTTGCCATGTGTATGGAGGGGACCATCTAGAAGGAGGGAAGAAAGCACCTTCTGGGAAAAAAGAGAAACTCAAGAAGGAGCAATCACAGGGATGGGAGAAAAACAAAGATGACAGTGCCATGGAGATGAAATAAATAGTATTTTAAGAAGAAATAAATGATTATGAAGGTTGTGTGTCATATAAAGCATAACCTAGGGCCTAAAAACATCTTTTAGGCTTAACATGTATGGGGTCACTGTTCACCTGGTGACTTATGTCAGTGGAACCATGGGGACGTAAGGGAGAGAAATCAAGGGTGGACTACTCTTTAAAGAATCCTGGTAACAAATGAAAATAAGAAAGAAATGTCAGTAGCTTGGAAGAATAGCTAGGCTGAGGAATAAATTCAATTTATAGAAAGAGAAAAATGTGAGCATGTCAGTAGGCATCAAGAAGTTGGACATGTGAAAGGAAAAGCCATAATTCAGAAGAAATCTATAAGAAGAAAGAGGAAATTCAGAGCTTTGGTACAGGGATGAGTCTTATTAATTCACTTACAGTGTAATCATCATGGTAATTTATATACTTAACTAATTTTTAGAAATAAGATGTACCACATCCTATAAAAACACGCGAGACAAAATTACATAAACAACAGCAAAGGAAAGGCCTCTAACTCTTGTGAGAATCCACTTTTCTTCTCCAGTCTTTGAGACCACTAAGGAAGGTGCTGCCAGCAGTATTTTCCTGAGTTTCAGAAGAATCACAGATATCTATAGAGTGTAAATGAACAGCAACAACTGGATTAGAGAACAAACAAGTTTGGTATCAGGTTAAACATACAGATTTCAGGCTACAAATTAAAAACACTGACCTGGAGAAAATTGCCACTGAGTTATTTTATTGAGGGAAATTTGTTTTCAAATCCAGACAGAAAAGAAATTGTGGAAAGAATGTATGTGTTTTTCAATGTGTTTGGCTACCTGTTGATGAGCATTTCCATTATCTATCATGGCCATAACAAATTACCCCAAAACTTTGTGGCTTCAAATGACAGCACTCAATAATTTGGGTGAAAAATCTGTAATGTGAGCAGGGATCTGGGGAGGTAGTTCAGCTCTTCTCTATGCAGAAACAGCTGAGGCAGCTGGACCAATGTAGGTGGACAACTTAAAAGATGGCAATTTGGTGTTGGCTGTGTGCTGGAAGCTCATCTGGGACTGTCACCTGGAGCCTCAGTTTCTCTGCACATGATCCTCTCTGAGAGGACTTGGGTTTTCTCACATCTGAATTCCAAAAGTGAGTGTTCTGAGATAGAAAATGGAAACTGTATGTCTCTGTGGCCTGAGTACCGAAACTGACATACCACTCAGTAATATTCTATTAGTCACTGCAGTCACAGAGCCTTCCCAGATTTAAGGGGAAGGAACAAGGGATATAGACCATGGTCTCTTGATGAGAAGAGTGTCAAAAAATAAGTAAATCTGAACATTAATCTTTTTTTTTTTTTTTTCAAATTTCTTCAACAATACGAGATATGGAGGATTCCGTCACACTGCATCACCACCATTATAAGAAACTATCATTTTGACTTAACAATACTTTTGGTAATAATATATTAATTTACTAAAGACTGTCATATATAGATTTACCTTTCAAATGGGGGTGAGGTATTTTTAAAAACAAATCTGCCAAAGGATCATTAAGGAGGGGCAGATTTTTGAAGCACTCTACCAGATGCACAGTTTAATGAATATTTCCCCCCAGGAAATCCTGATGGGTCTATAGCCCCTCTGTGTGTACATCTGGCTTCATTTGCAGCTTCTCGGTCCCATCTCCAGCATGACTGTTAACTTTAGTGATGCTGCCCGTAGAGCTGATGTCTATTAAGGCCAGCCAATTACATTACTTTGCTAATTGTATTAGAATATTTAACTGAGCAGAGCCTCATGCTGTTTTGACAGATAGATTGTACTGCATAAATAAAAGTGCTTATTCAAAGTGGCAAATTTGTTTTCAGATTTTCCTTGGAGATGGCAGTTAGCATATGACCCTCTGCTATTATTTTTTAGGATTCACATTCTGCATTTTGTAAATGATTTTGGAGTCCCAAAACAGAAAACAAATTCTTTACCAAGTATTTCTTTAGCAGAATCAGCAAATCCACCTCCTCCAAATAGAGGATGGGGATCCTGGTCATGTTTTTATTATCCTGCTCTAATGAACCGAGTCCAAATTTCCAAAACGCGAGTTCTGTGTTTTCGGCTGTAGTCTCTGAGATTTGTAATCCTAGACTGGTGCCAGGGACTTTGTTTTCCTATCAGCAAAACACGGGAAACCATATTTTCAAATTCTTCAAGATCTCCCAAAACAATCTGTTACAAAAATGAAAACTATTATTATGACAGGACTTAGCCCACAATTTGTTTATTATGCACAGTAATCTCCTTATTTATTCTGATTGAAAGCAATCACAAGTCTGTTCAACACTCAGAGTGGGTGGAAGTAAGCCAAATCCAATCCAAATGCTGAGGACAGAAAGCACAGGCACCGGTAAAACTTCAGGGTAAATGTCAGAGTATGAAGGGTGAGGGAGGATGTTGACCTTGAGTATGGAGACAAATTTGATTCCTGTACTAGAATCCAGAACCTAAGTCCTTATTCTTCCCCAATAAAAAGAAGATTAGCTTCATCTACTGTAGTAAGTGGAGTTTATTTAATACTTTCAAAGAATAGCTGGGGCTATTAACGTGTGTAGGAGAAAGAAAAAATTTCTATATACTTCCTGCCTCTTCTTCACTGACACTCATCCTAACCTTAAGAAAAAGAGACCCTCTCAGCTGTGGATGAATTTTTGGACTCCTATAAAACAGATACAAATGAATGATTCTTTCCAATAATTTTCCAATAGGGTGCTACTTAACCAGTCGAAAATTCGTATACATTTGCTTGATCTTTTTCTGTTTAATTCAAAGTTTATTAAATTCAAGAGTTCATACTCTGTGAGCTATTTCAGGGTATTTTAGGATAAACTCTTGAAGACATATGAACACATTTGGAGGCTAAAATAACTTTAATGGATAGAGACTATTGAAAAACTGACCTGTTGAAACACTTAAACTAATTATTACTTGCATGAAGCAACTGTTCTTATAGCTGAGTTTGGGGCAACTAAGGAGCAAACACCCGGTTCTATCCATAAAGTCACAAATTGTAATCTCACTTTTCATGATTTCTGCATGTATTCCATTTTTCTTAAAATTAAAAAAGTGTTATATAATATGAAAAGTTATGCCTGTGCCTGTGGAAAAGAAAAGACAACTCTCAAGAATTACTTTAGTGGTATTTTCATTAGGCAGGCAAGGCAGAGAAGAGATAAAGCTGTTGAAGGTCCAATGAGTATTTATTCAGCTTATCAGAAATTGAAGCCATCTAGGTTCAGAAAATATTTTCCAGGTTATCTTTGTTCTGCTTATTCATTTTATGAGCCTATCCACTTGGGAGTTGCCTCTGGTCCTCTCTATAAATTCTAAAATGGCATGTGATGATATAAAATGTCCAGTCTATATTTGGCATGCCAGTAAAAATGAAATAATGCATATTTAATTTTCTTCCTCTAATTATCTAAAATTTTAAAATTATAAACTATAGTATTTAAATTACTAAAATACAAAATGTCAGCTCTCATAACCACTCTCATCTTATTCTTGATATCTTGCTAATGCAATTACAGAACTCAGTCACATGGCCTCACTCAATTGCAATGGAGCTTGGAAAATATTTCCTTATGCCTCCAGAAGGGAAGAGCAATTGATTTAAACAACTAGGCATTCTCCACCACAAATGCCTATATGGTAGGCTTTAATGTGATGTAATGACAAAAGAATGTATTTTGAGATCACCGGGGCTCAGCTCTTTTTAAATATCTATTTTTTTTTCCTATCAGACTAAAATTTTCCCTAAAAATAGCTGTTCTTAAATGCTTTCATTTACTGTCCCAGTTCCCAACTGCAACATACCTTATTCCAACTCCGATCTCTCTTGTTCATCAGCCAGCTATAGCATTTTCAATGACTGTTCCATTTAACCTGGGACCACCATTGGCCTAGTGTCAGTGCTTGGAGAATGTTGTGACACCACTGCATTCTAGATAGAACTAACACTCCCACCTCTGACAGCTGGAACTCAACTCCTCAAATTCTTCACTGAGTAGTGGTAAAAAAGTCCTAGTGGCCTCTCTCCTGTGTTCTGGCTATCATTTGAATCACCATTACTTAAATCTGCCTTTACTTTTGACTTAGTAAGTGACTTTAGTAAGTGACTCCATTCACTTACTAAAGAAGAAATATTGCCACTGAGATGTTGGGGAAATGGTCTGTCTATTCACTAAATGTTACCTATCACTGTAAACATCATAAGGAACAGGATTCAAAGGATGTTGGTAAGTTTACAATACTAGTTAAGAAAAGCACTAGTTAAGGAACCCCAAGACTGAGTTAGATGGAACCAGATTCAAAATGAAAAGATAAAACAATTTCTTAGAGATCTAGAGAAGTGAGAAAGGATTCTCAAGTTGAAAGAAACAAATTAGTTTGATAGAATAGTGAAAATAACAAATACCCCAGAAACTGTTAAACTTTCACCAAGATTCTCAGTTGTTAGGACTCATGTTTTTACAGTTGTATTAGAGGCAAAAAAAAAAAAAAAAAAAGATAAATGCACTTATTTTCAGTCCTTCCCACGCCTACCACCTTCTTTGTACATGTAACCAGTTTATTCTTTGACACATAATTGTACATATTTATCAGCTACATATGATATTTTCCATACAATGTGCAATGATTAAATCAAGGTAATTGGCATATCTATTACCACAAACATTTATCATTTCTTTGTGTTGAGACATTCCAAATCCTCTGGTTATTTTGAATTTTATCACAAATTATTGTGTAAACAGTTTACTCTTGAGATTCGAATTGAAGTAAACCTGAAACAATTTTATTTTTTCAAACGTCTTATGCTTATGATAGTCTTCAGTGGAGTGGAGAAACCCTCCTGTTGATTCTAGTTGAAGAAACTGGTATCATTACGGAAACTTAATTTCCTATTATTGTTGGAGTGGCAATCACACATACTGAGGGAATATTCAACTTGTTTTGAAATAAATCTCCTTTCTATCTCCTGCCATCAGCTTAAAGAAAAACGTCCTTTGAATAATTGCCTAAAACATGCTATTTATTTCTGAAATTAACAGAAAGGGCCTGTTTCAGGATTCACTTAAATCATTTAACTGCCACAGAAAATACAGAACTCTGAATTACGGCTTTTCTTAAACACATAAAATCTATGGATAAGACGGTTAAGCCCTGCTATCAAATCCTCATAACCCTGTATGCAAATACCATGCTTACAGAGGATCTTCATCTACGATCTAATATCTTCATTTTTAAATGAGCTAGCTAAAGGTTCTGAGTTCATTATTCCTATCTCTTTATTCTCATTCAAATTATTATGTTAACATTAATCTATTTATTAGAACACCTTTCAGCTAAGAAAATTAAGGAGCTTTGACAAGCACAAACTAAATATTCCCTGAAGAGTAGGTTGGCACAAGCTAAGATAGAATGAAAGGTAAGACAAAAAAACAATGTAGAGGTTCAATTCCTTTGCTCAAGCTCAATCAGGGAAACAGTCAGTGTCTACTTTATATCCAACAGGTTAACCCTTTGCAAATGAAAGACTCAAGTGGCCAAATGACACTTACTTCTCAGACAAGGTGTTTGCAAGGATAAACTTTGAGACAAGAGAACTAGCCTTAAATTGAAGAGTTCCTGACAACAGCAATTTGACAAGCACCTAACTGGATTATCTCTTAAATCCAGTTTATAATTGGTCCACTCAAGTATGTATTTTATAATAGTTATTGACACATATGATATAGTGCTGAGAATCCTGAAAGTGTATACTATCATCTTTCCAATCTTGGTAAACAAGAAATTAAGAAAAAATCCAGCGCAGCCTAAATCTGCTCAATCCAGAGGAAGTCACTTTCTTATTCTAGTGTGTCTTGTGTGTCTCTGGCAGTGAAGAAAGATGCCTATCAGAGGGCAGCATATCATACCAGTACTATTTTCATCAACTGAATATAAGAAATATATATACCTCATTTACAAAATAACTATAAATCACTTATATTTTTGTGTGCCTTTAAGGCTTAATTGTGGAATGTCAATAAACAGATGGGTTAAACAAATTATGGCATATGAATATTTGGAATGCTCTGCAATACCTGAAAACGTTAGGCAGATTGAGTTCATGAACATGAGAATTTCTGATATATATTTTATTTTAATGCTTATAAAATAAATATGTATTTATGTTTTACCTAAGCAATTAATGCATAATTTGAAAGGCAACATAGCATAGTGTCTAAGACTACAAGCTCTGGAGCAATATTGCCTATGCTTAAAAGCAGGTTACCAATTACTGTATAAATTGGGATAATGTACTTTGTGTGCCTGTTTCTCTCTATATAAAGGGTCATCTATAATGTCTCATACCTTATATCGTTACAATCAGGATTAAACAATTTAATATAATTGTTTAAAGCCATGCTCAATACATAGAAAGGAATAAAAAATACTGGCTATTATGAACTAAATTAGATTAAAATGATGATAAATATGGCATTCAAAAGGAATCTTATAAATAGGCAAAAAAAAAACTTCAACCAAAAAAAAGATGGTATTACTGGCCTTGACTTAAACTAAGGCAATATTCAACCTCAGAAGACTACAGAGCGATGAATTTAGAACTCTGAGAAGTGAAGTGGATCCCAAGTAGTATATAAAAGCCAGATTGTCATTCAAGTATTAGGAAACCAAATCATAATTCTGAACTATGAAAGCAAATATAGCACCATAAACTTTACTTATTATATGCTTACGATAAATTGTCAAGAATTGAGAAAGGTACAGACATTAAGATAGCAAATACCACGTGTTTAGCACTCAGTTCTATCGTATGTCAAATGTTACCATTTTGTCATTTGTTCCCAAATCTACCTCTACTTTTACAGATACAGTGGAAGGCACCTGTTTCTCTTCTTTCATCCCATTCCGCTTATTCTCTTTTCTTGGATGGGGGTTTATATTTGCCTGAATTTGATGCTTATATTTATTATGTATGTTTTAATAACTTACTCAGAAAAGTTTTATTAATATATAGATATTGCACATTTAAACTATACATAAAAAGAAAATTGCGATTTTCCTTGCTTCAGTTTCTACCAAGCCCCTCCTGTGATAGATATCAAATAAATTAGTGAGAATATATCAAAAGGTATTCTTGGGCCCTTCTTGGGTACTCTTGTTCAGGTTGAGAATATAAAAAGATCAAAGGAGTGGAGGAAAAAAACATTAACAAAATTATTTGGCAAGAAGCATATTTGGAAGCATCCAATCACGATCTCCCATTTAAGGGGAATGAATGCTGTTTCCTTCAACACAACTCCAGAGAGAAGTACAATGGGATCATTGGGGAAGTCTGAGATGTTTTCCTCGAGTTTGAATTAATAATTGACTATGATCTGATGCATGCCTTAAGAATCTGAAGATAAGGCAGAAAGGAAGACAGAAGAGGGCAGTGTTTAAGAAGTCACTACAGGCCCACTAACACTGAGGAAGACTGGGTAAACATTTTCCATGGACCAGAATGTCAAGAATTGTTAAGGGGCTGAAACTTTATCCTACTTGCAAGCTAGCAAGTTAGACTGTCCCAGTTTTAGAAAGACTGACAGGAGACACAAGGCTCCTGGGTCAGAAACAAAAGATGATTAATTACTCATAGAAACAGCAGAAGCAATGGCCAGGCATGGTGGCTCAAGCTTGTAATCCCAGCACTTTGGGAGGCCAAAGCAGGTGGATCACCTGATGTCAGGAGTTTGAGACCAGCCTGGCCAACATGGTAAAATCCCCTCTCTACTAAAAATACAAAAATTAGCCAGGTGTGGTGGCAGGCACCTGTATTCCCAAATACTCAGAAGGCTGAGTCAGGACCGCTTGAACCCGGGAGGCAGAGGTTGCAGTGAGCCAAGATCACGCCACTTGCACTCCAGCCTCGGCAACAGAAGGAGACTCCGTCTCAAAAAAAAAAAAAAAAAAAAAAAGAAGGAAAAAAAGAAAAGAGACAGACCTAGCCAGATAATCAGCATTTGCACTAGAAGTGGAAACCCAACTTCCCACAGAGTTATATAAAGTAGACCAAGTGAGACTTGAACACACAGTGGGATGTACTACAGGAGAGGAATCCTGAGCTTAGGAAACACATGTCTTTTATAATGAGCAATAGTAGTCTGTATGATCTTTGCATCAGAGGGAAATATTATCTCTATTATACTGAACAGTAAACAAATCAGTCTTTATTCTAGAGGTAGAAATTTTCTTTTTTCTTTAATTGAGATGGAGTCTCTTGCTCTGTCATCCAGACTGGAGTGCGGTGGCACAATCTCAGCTCACCGCAACCTCCGCTTCCTGGGTTCAAGCAATTCTCACGCCTCAGTCTCCCAAGTAGCAGGGATTACAGGCACCCGTGACCATTTCTCGCTAATTTTTATATTTTTAGTAGAGACAGGATTTCACCACGTTGGCCAGACTGCTCTGGAACTCCTGACCTCAAGTGATCTGCCCACCCTGGCCTCTCAAAGTGCTGGGATGACAGGTGTGAGCCACTGTGCCCAGCCTGAAATTTTCCATCTTCTAAGATTGCTCCCTATACATACATCTTGAAAAGAGAGTCTAGCACAAACGCAGAAAGTGCCTCTGCCCAAAAGACATAGAATTAGAAAAGATTCATGGAGAATTGTTTCCCAACACAGATATAGAGGACTTGAGTGACAAAGCCATCCTGGAGCCATTTTATGTCCAGGTAAAAGAAGAACATCTGGAAATAAAAATGGTTGGTTAATGACTGAACACCAGGAGCTGAGGTGGGAAGCTATCAGTAAAAGGGAAAGCATGTTGTTCACAGGAGTTGAAGGCCAAGGGAACCTAGAATTTTTTTTAAAAAACAATGGATTTTCTGGTCTCTAAAGATGTCATAAAAGAGATGGCATTTAAATTCAGAATCATTTAATCAGAGACTGAAGGTATGAAGGTATTCAGTTGGAAGAAAGTATAAAGAACACAAATAGAAAATAAATCAAAAGTATTCAGGAAATAGGAGTCTAATGTTGCTGAAAGACTACTGTGATAATTTATTTTGGTGACTGTTACTGTTCATTTCTTAAAACGCTGCATTTTTGTTTCTCTTGCTGGTTACGTAGTCACTTGCAAATGGACAGCAATGCTACCTTTGGTTGATGGATGTAATACTCATTTCATTGAGGGAAGAGGAATAGGATCTGAAAACAACTAAGCTAAACACAATCTACAACTACAAAGACAGTTAACATTTCCATTGCCTACAAGAAAAAGCCTCGAATATAAACCTACTTGGGGTTTCAAAAATTGGCACAAGACCAAGAAAGACAAGAAATTTGAAAGCAAATTTTTCATAAAAACTAGGCAAATCATAGATTCTTTTATTATTGCTTTAGGTTCTAGAAGAATGTAATTGTGAATTTCCTTTAGTTGCTTTCTGTCCCTTACTCATAACTATTCAAATGCAACTTTTTGTCATGAATGATAATAGATTCCAATCTAACATAACATGTCTTGCTCTGACATTTACAAACACACAGCTGTGGGAACAGATAAATCCGGCACAATGTTTATTTTCTAAGTGTGTGAAAGGAAATGGGATGCTTCTGCTTAATAAACCTCATATAGCATTAAACATTTAACCATCATAAGAAATCTGTCCCTAAGAGAAAAAAGAAGTGATAGCATAATCTGAAATGTCCATTTCATTATCTAACATTATGTTATATTAGTGTCTCATGCAACATAACATATGCAGTAGCTTAGAATCAGGTAACATTAAATTGCATTTTCTTCAATTCACATATTTGCAAAATGAGAAAAGGACTCCTAATATATGCAAACATTCAAAACTTCTATTAAAAATTCAGATAAAGAATGAAATAATTTGGCTCTTATCACATAGTCGAAGAAAGACTTGATTATCATATTTGCCTTTTAAAAATGTAACTATTAGATATTTCCAGTGATAAACCACCCCTGAAGTTAAAAAATCTCCTGAGGATTACATTAAACAGCCAGCGACTTTCTCCATTATGTTTTTCATTCTTTCTACACCCAATTTTCATCATTTCCAATTACACCATTTCCATTGCACACACAACTACCTTGACTTTGACTTAGCAAATGACAAATATATAGCGAGGAACACATTCATTCAAGGAACAAAAGACACCACACACAAAACAGCTCTTTTTTTTTTGTTTTGTTTTGTTTTTAATGTGTAATTAAAACACAGTTCCTCCCTAGGCTTACCTTAACAGTGCATGCACTCATATTCCTGGCTATCTCTGAGAATATATTATTTAAAGATCAATTGTTTTCAAAAAGAGGTAGGGAGACAATTTTGTCTCCTAGGGGACTTCTGGCAATGTCTGGAGACATTTTTGATTGTCATCACTTTGGGATAAGGATTGCTGCTGGCGCCTAGTGGGTAGAACCCACGGATGCTACTAGATATTCTACAACACACAGGACAGCCCCCAACAACAAAGAATTATCAGGCCCAAAATGTCAATAGTGCTAAGGTTTTGAAGACTTGACCTAGATTAACATGTCAATGCCACATTATCCCGAACTTTTCTTCACATCTTTCCTTTGAGAAGGTTTTCGCATCCTGTAATATAATTTTCTTCTAAAGCACCAGTTAACTGCCTATGCTTGTAATAGTCAACTATTTCATGTCAACTAATTTATGTCAACTATTCAAACTCCTGTAACTTGTTTTTACATGCAAGTTGTCTTTCTTTATTCATTATCTCCAGTTTTATGTAGTGCAAAGAGACTAAACTGATGGCCCCTCTATTTGCTAACCATGTAACCAGCTATATTAGTCTGCTTGGGCTGCCATAATGAAATTGTACAGATAGTCTGGCTTAAACAACAGAAATATTTTCTCACAGCTCTGGAGGCTAGAAGTCCATGCTTGATGTGTTGACCAAATCAGTTTCTGGTCTAATAAACATCTTCGCTGTATCCTCACGTGGCCTTCCTTCCTCCGTGCTCATGTAGAGAGAACTAGAACTGTGGTAGCTCATCCTCCTCTTAGACGCCAGTTATATTGGATTAGGGCATCACCTTTTTTATATCATTTAAACTTAATTACCTCCATAATGGTCCTATCTTCAAATACAGTCATTTTGGGGATTAGGGCTTCAACGTATGGATTTTGGCAAGGGACAGAATTCAGTCCACAAAACCAACCTGCGTGGTCTGTAGTAGCTTACCTATTTCTTTCCAGAATATTCCATGAACAACAACAAACAACCCTGGGAAGGTGATGACACCTGTGACTGACCATTTTCTGAGCTTACGTACACTCTGCTCTGGAGGATGTTATTAAAAACCTCTCTGTTTGTTAAACTCTCATGTGAAATTTATGATATGCCTATGTAGAGTCAAACTACTTCATCTTACCAAAGAATGCCTAAAGAATAAAAAAAATCAGGAAATTAACAGTGGGACATTCATGTTCAAGGGGTTTCAGTAGCACTTATTCTGGGAAGAAATACAACAGTTAACTACCCAGATTTCTCCTGAACTCTTTGTTTTATTCCTGAATCTGTCTGGATGCTTACCGTAGCTTGTGACAGCTGTCACTTTCCTGATGTAGTGAACACTGTGCTGTGTTCAGGCCCGCTTTCCAGGAGTCCCAAGATTGTTCCCTACAGTGTAGAAAGTGCTCTCAGCTAAGCCTTTGATGCCCAAGCCCACTCTGAGACTCCACGGCCAATGTCATGGTGCCTCCTTGGAGCAGCATTCATACAAGGACTGTTCAAGTATATGAGTCTGATCCCAAATCTGGGCAACTTGGAGGGTAAATCCAAACATCAGGCTCCTCATGAAGGAGGCTGAGGTTTTGGTATTCCTGCACTGGAGCCCAGCTTCTTCCTCCACATGATCCACCTTCATTCCCTTCCTGGGACATTTCCTAATAAACTTTACGCATACTAAACTTTATTTCAGAGCCTGTGTCTCTGGCAACTCACCTGAAGCATCAGATTTGTTAGATTGCCTCACCCTTATACTGTAAGGAGCATATATTTTGTACAATAGTACCTATTATATATAAAAATAGGGAGTACTCATGACAGTGAAGATAAAATTGGGATTTAGACCTTCATTGTTAAATAAAATGTGTTCAGCCCAAGTAAGTGCTTTCATTTCTTTCTATGTGCTAAGGATTTTAATAGAAGGCTATATTTATTCCCCTTCCTAACACAGATTCAGTGTGCTGATGATTATTTGCTTGTTGGATACAAATGTGGAAGGGTATAATTTTCTAACAGTTATTCTTTTTTTCTCTTTCTCTCATTTTTTTTTTGACAGGGCTTAGATTGATGGACTACTAAGCTAATTTATAGGTTCTGCTGTCTGAGATAGGTCTCCATTTCATTATCAGTGCTGTCTCAGGTGGAGAACCGAAATCACTGTGTATTCAATTAGTTATTGAATCTTGACACACCAGGTGCAGGGGTCACTCCACAAAGCAGCTGCTTTTGAGTAAGAAAACACATTCAGAAAGGGGTTTAAAGAAACTTGGCATTGTTGAGCCATTTTATGATAGATTACCTGAAATGGCCCATGTTCAACATCAGAGCTGGGCTGCTTTGACAGTAGGTAAGAGGATAAATCAATGTATTTGGCAGTGTTATAAACAAATTAATACGAAAAAGGAAGAAAAATTGGGCTTTCAAGAAACTTCCAGAAGTACTCTCTAGATTTAGATAAAACAGCCTCCATGTTGTGAGGTCCTCCAGATTTAGGAACAGAATAATTCAGTTTTAAATAATACAGAACCTTCTCGCAACATAGCCCTTGCCCCGTCATGTCTTAATTTGACTACTCATTAAAAATTAGCAGGTAAAGGGGGAAATATGCACAAATCCCCAAATATTTCATTATTCAAACTTTAATAATCATGGAAATGTCAAACATACATCATGGGAAATGGGGGGGCAGTTAGGGAGAGGAGAGCAATGTTCTGTTTTTCTTGCCCTTTATTATCAGAATTAATAGCTACTGGTAAAGTCTAAATGGACAAAATAGAATGAAACCTATTTCAAAATCCTTCTATCTTCAGTTTTTACAAAAATCCACCTAGCACAGTGCCAGGCTCTGATGAGGTGCTCCATAAATGTTGATTAGAGGAAGGAATCTATGAAGTCCTTGATCCATATTTAAAAGCACAAATTAAACTTACCATCCAGCATAAATCATATTAACTTTGTGGACAAATCCACAGAGCAGGGAAGGTTTATTATAAAACATGAGTCCCTCTAACTCCTTCAGCTGCCCTAATCTGCCCTCTGTCAGACAAAACAGGGATAGATGGGGGAGGGAGAGAAGAGCAAGGCAGTTGCTGCTGACTCTACCTCTACCTACCCGCGCCCGCCCCCCATTCTTTCACTCCAAACAGGTGAAAATTAGGTAAGTCACCTGGTGACACCAGTTTCCATTGTTCTTTTACAAAGAAAGCTAACCACATATGCCTGCCTGCTCCAGCAGCTCAATCAACCCCTTGATGTGCTTTGAAGGCCTTGTCACAGGAGCCTGTCATTATCAAGAAACCACTCCTCTGATTGTACAGTCTTTGTGAACATGCTAAGTAATTGATCTTCTCACCTTCCTTCATTCTCCTGTATCAAAGGAGAGTAATTTTGTTTAGACTTTCTTCTCAAAAGTCATGAATCCCCTTTGGGAAATCTTCAGACCGTGTCCACACAGATTGTATTCCCAGGAAAACATAGCGATACCATCCTCCTGTTCTTTCTAGGAACAGTAGTAACTCTTTGCTTTAATTACTATGTGGGAAAACAAAGATGTTTTAAAATATCATTGCTGGTTTATTTCTAACAGTTTATCCCCATCTCTCAGTGATATACATGCATCTCCATGTCTGCAAAATATTTTCTCACTAGGCCACAGTGTCCAGAAACATACTTGTGTAATAGAAGTTAGACTACATTCTGTGCAAATTGGTTTTTTTCCGTTCTACTTGGACCAAAATCACCAAGTAGATTTGACTATTTACCTGTAAATATGCCCCCTTCTCCTATGCTTTAAGTTTTCAAAAATTGATATCTCATGCTAAAAAATTTGCCCATTTACTTTATGGAAAATGCCTACTTTCTCACTTGCTCCTTTGTGTTCCATCAAAATTTGCACCTACTCCTCGTGTAACATCAAATGTGGGATATTAGACAAAGAAGTTGAGACCATTTTAATACATTAGAATATGCCCCTGAAACCTTACAATAAAATACTTATTTCCACAATCACCTGTGCTATATTCTAATTTAGTGCATTATTAAAGTATTATTAAAGTCCAAACCAAAGAAATTAACATAACTGTGTGAAAAAAACTTTAATTAAAAAAGTTCCACTTTTGTTCTCTGCTTGTATTATTCAGATAATATCCTTCATCTCAAATTCCCCCAAATCATTCATTTGTCCTATTTTATTTTGTGTCTGAAAAACCTGGTGAAGTATTTTGACATTTTATTTTAGACCTAAAGCATGAAGTTTCATGGCCTGTAACCTCAAATTATTTCCAGACTTTTTAAGATGTCATTCTCTGTAAATGTTCGTATACATAAAAGCAAATAGAGTTTTATTGAGGAAGTATTACTTCTCCAAGCTAGCTTCTTACATTTTTTTAAATATACCTCATTTAAAATGCATATTGTACAAAACTTGTGAGACTAACTTGTAAGACAGAACACACTAGAGGAACTTCCACATTTATGAATATAAGTAAAAAATTAAATAATGACAAACTGTTGGAAACATTGAATTCTGGCTAGAAATCTAGATAACCCAAACTTTGAATCTAGTTTGGCTTTCAGATAGGATAAACAATTGTCTCAATTTTCCCAGGATTATTCCATTTTTAAAACTGATAATCTCACATCTTGGGAACCCCTTAATTCTGGGAAAAACTCAGTCCTGGACTGTTGATCACCTTTTTTTCCAGAAGAGCATACAAAATATCACCAACAATGTATACCTTAGGTTTTTAATCACCTACTTTGAGATCACTAGAAGAAAACAATCAATATGGATAAAATAGGCAAACCATTTGAGACCTGTAATAAAATATTGTACAGTTTGATTATTCATAAGTGTCTATGGTAGTCAAGGATCTCAGACTTCAACTGGGAGATTATTTGTCACATGTTTTGTGAGTGGATACTGTTTCAACTGGCAGAGTGCGCGTGTGTGTGTGTGTGTGTGTGTGTGTGTGTGTACACATAGACAAAAGCAGGAAAAAGGAATTACAAATTCACAAACTTAAGGAGTGTTTGGGATCTAAACGGTGGTGTGAACACAAAATAAATCTGATATTTGGGGGCAGCACTGAAGCCAACAATGATTTTAAAGTAGAAAGAGCACTTAGTTACAAAACTGAGACCTGTGTAATGTGCATGCTAAATAAAAAGTTTGAATCCTAAATTAAATCTTGGAAATGTAATGCCTTCAATATTTCTGAATTTATATAACTAGAGTCTACTAACTAAGACCTGCTCAGCATTTCCAGAATGAAATTCTCTCTTTAAAGAAAAGATATAAATTGTTCTTGTGCCAGGCGGCATGGAATGGAGCATTAAGGATGTACCCCCAAGGACCTGGAACTGGAAACAATGGACTATATATAATTTGGATAGGGATTTGAGGACAGTTACTCCCAATTTTCAACAACAATTTTAGATGAGAGTCTGTGGAAAGTTGCTTACAGTTTATTCTGAGATCCCATAGAGATCACTAATGGAGACCCATTTTAGCTACTAGAGCTAACTGTCTAACAGACTTCTAAAAGTTTCCCATTTTGCTATTTTCTAAGGAAAAATTTCATATATTTTTTAGTTTTCTCAAACTTCCTACTAATCCCTGCCATCTACTTTATTAGACAGTTTTGCTTTATATTTTTCAGAAAATAGTGATCAATTCTGTAAATTCTCAACCAACGAAGTTTCCTACAGTAACACACATTTTTCTTCATTCTCTTGTTACAATGAAGGAGGTTCCCCTACTCCCTTCTAAGACCGCTCAACAAAATCTGGGGGATTCATCACCTACAGCTCCGGGAAATCAGACCACCCAATTTCCGTCTCATACTTTCCTGCTTCATTCATTAGTATGTTAACATTCTCAAGTTTTTCGTTTATGGAAAAAGAGCCCTTCATTCATTATAAATATGTTATATTTAATAAACCAAGCCTATCACTCTTGCTGCCTCTTCAAAGCAAATGCTTTAAGGTTCCCTTATAAATAAAATAAATTATGTATTAAACCATATTTTCTGTATTGAGTCAGACATCAGTAACATAATGGTAAAAGGAAACACATTCACTTGAAAATTTAGAAGCATATTTCTAAACAGCTATGGATATACACACAAAGAAATTTTAGTGAAAATTAAAAAATATTTAAAAGCAAAAAGAAATATTACATGTAAAACGCTGAGATGCAAATAAAACATTAATTTGAAGAATTTTATGGTCTGAAAAGTTTATATTACAATAAAATACTGATTATTATTTGCATATTGAGCAAAGAATAGGTTTCACATAATTCAAAAAGGACACAGAAAATAAACTGGAAGACTGGATCAGTAGCTGCAACACTAGAAAGATGGCGGAGCAGGAGCAAAGAAAAATCCCTTTGGTTCCAGAAAATCTCCTAAAAAAAAAAGAGGAAAGCTTATCAAGCCCTCAAAGCTACCCAGGCAAAGCAGACACTTTTGGCAAAGAAGGAGCAGAGGAAAGGAAAATAGCTCAGGTTTAAGCAACTAGAATTCTTCCTACATGATTCCCAGCAGCAGAACCGTGACAAGGTGCATCTCAGATGACTAGAAGTGAAACCTCATGCCTTGGAATTGCCAGATAAACATTCCTTGGCCTTTGTTGTATGCATCGAAAGGATTGACAGCATGAGTTTACTGGTGCAGAGAACCATTGCAAGACTTCACGTAAAGAAAATTTTTAGTGGTGTCTTTGTAAAAGTCATCCCACCACCCACCCCCGCCACACAGAACCTAAAAATGCTGTGAATAGTGGAACCTTATGTGACCTGGGGATTTCCAAATCTGAAGTCTGTCTGGTAACTCATTCTGAAATGTAGACAAGCCAAGGTCAATAATAAGACCATCCCTCTGACAGACAACACAGTGATTGAGGAACACCTGGGGAAGTTTGGTGTCATTTGCTTGGAAGACCTCATTCATGAAATTGCCTTCCTAAGAAAGCATTTCCAGGAGATTTCATGGTTCTTGCACCCTTTCCACCTCTCAATGGCCCTTCATGCTACCAAAAGAAGAGTGGGCTTCCTCAAGGAGATGGGCACACCTGGCTATCAGGGTGAACACATCAATCAGCTCATCCGCCAGCTGAACCCAGGTGCCAAACTGCAGTAAATTTTTATCAATTAAATGGAAGCATGTGTTTTTGTATTTGGGGGGGGGAATTTTTATCAAGTATCTTTGGAGAAGATTATTTCCTGCTTTATCTTCAAAAACTGGAAAGGAAGGGTCAAAGACAACACAGTAGTTGGCCAGGTGCAGTGTCTCATGCCTGTAATCCCAGAACTTTGGGAGGCTGAGGCAGGCGGAGCACCTGAGGTCGGGAGTTCAAGACCAGCCTGACCTTGGAGAAACCCTGTCTCTACTAAAAATACAAAAGTTAGCTGGGCATGGTGGCGCATGCCTGTAATCCCAGCTACTCAGGAGGCTAAGGCAGGAGAATTGCTTGAACCCAGGAGGTGGAGGTTGCAGTAAGCCGAGATTGCCCCATTGCACTCCATCCTGGGCAACAAGAGCGATACTCTGGAAGAGAAGAGAAGAGAAGAACAGTACAGTACAGTACAGTACAGTACAGAACAGTAGCTTATGTTCATGGCAAGCACCTCTCATCACAGTCCAGTTCCAAGGAAACATTCCAGCATTTTCTATACTGGCTGCCGCCTCATCTGAAATCAGCACATTCCATGGAGGAAGGAGTCCTGCTTTGCTGCATCGTCTATTCCAGGGTTTAATGTTGGTAAATGAGCAACTCTAGCATTTGTACAAGGCTCCCTAAGACTCCTGCAGCAGTCGACCAAGCCCAGGGACATAAATGAATCTAGAGTTTCCTGGGGCCTTGTTTTGAAAAAGACTTGAAATGCACACAGGAAAAAAAGGCACAAAAACAAATGTTCCTTTGTCACTGCAAAAACAAATAAAAAATAAAAAAGTGGAAGAGTGGAAAAATAAAGAGAACTAAATGGAACAAAGTAGAAAGCAAGGCTATATTAGAGATTAATAGACTAGAAACTGATTTTAAGAAAACCTTTAAAATATAAAAATATCAGTAAGATTGATTTAAAAAAGAAAAAGAAAGTATAAAAATCAGAAGCAACTTATTTATCAGCAGATAAATAAATTAGGCTACATTCAGTCAATAGCATACTATTCAGTAATTACAAGTGAATTACTATTATAGCTATCAAGATACATAAATTTCAAAAACAGAGTACAGAAGGACACTTTAAAAACTTTCAAAAACATGCAAAAAATATGTTTGTATCCATAAACATATTGATATTCTTAAAACATGGTAAAATCTTAAAACATCCACGAAATAAAAAATCAGGAGTGGTTTCTTCTGCAAAAACAGGAAATACAATGGAGTTGGGAACAGATACACAAGAGAAGGAGGCAAGCAAAGGAAGGAAGAAAGAGAAAAGAAATGGAAAACGATCTGTAGCATATACAGCAAGGTGTTAAAAATTAACAAAGCTATGAGGCATGTACCCTAGATTTAATTATATTATTGTTTATATTTTTCTCTAAGCTTATATACTTACTGGTTCTTCTGCCTCAGCTGCTATGTACTCTTTAACGCACTGAAATCTAACTTCTCGCCTTCCCCATTCCTCTGAGATGCTCTCAACAAGGTAAAATGTGATCATCTTTTATTATTTCAATAGCTTTTGGGGTACATGTGGTTTTTGGTTACATGGGTGAGTTGTATAGTGGTCAAGTCTGAGACTTTAGTACACCAGTCACCTCAGTAGTGTACATTGTACATTACTTCCCACTTGTAAGTGAGAACATATAGTATTTCATTTTCTATTCCTGAAATGAGATTTTCTTACTGCTAAATCTAAATGTGTTTAATGTATTCATTGTGGTAGGCAAAATAAAACTCTCCCAAATGTCAATGTCGTAATCCTGAGCCTGTGAATGTGTTATTTTATATGTCAAAAGAAACTGAGATGTAATTAAGTTAAGGTGAGTCAGACGAGGAGATGATCTGGTTTATTCAAGTAAGTTCTATCTAATTACATGAAACCTTCAAATTGCAGAACATTTTCCAACTGTGGCTCAAAACAGAGACTGAGATTTGACAACAAAAGAAGGATCAGACAGATGTGATGTTGCTGGTTTTGAAGACTCAAGAAGAGCCATGAGCCAAGGAATGAGTGCAACACCTAAAAGCTGAAAACGGCAAGGAGCCGGATTCTCCCCGGAGCCTCCAGAAATGATCACAGCCCTACTGACTCCTAAATTTAGCTCACGAAGACCTTTGTTAGATGTCTGATGTTCACAATTACATGAAAACAAATTTGTGTTTGCTAAGCCACCAAGAGTACAGTAATTTGTTACATCAGCAGTGAAAACCAATAGATTTATCTTACTTTATTTTTACAGCTTGTGATATAATTTACCATTTCTTTCTTGAATTGATCTCCCATATTTATTTTATATTTCCATAGGTTATTAAGAAACAGATGGTGTTTGGTTATATAAGTAACTTCTTTAGTGGTGATTTGTGAGATTTCGGTGCATCCATCACCCAAGAAGTATACACTGCACCCTATTTGTAGTTGTTTTTTTTCTCCCACCCTCCGAGATAGGGTCCCACTCTGTCACCCAGGCTGGAATGCAGTGGCGCATCTCTGCTCACTGCAACCTCTGGCTCCTGGGCTCAAACAATTCTCCTGCCTCAGCCTCCAGAGTAGCTGGGATTACAGGCACCTACTGCCACACTTGGCTAATTTTTGTATTTTTGGTAGAGATGGGGTTTCACCATGTTGGCCACGCTGGTTTTGAACTCCTGACCTCAAATGATCCTCCCACCTCGGCTTTCCATAGTGCTGGGATTACAGGTGTGAGCCACCACGCCCGGCCCTATTTGTAGTCTTTTATCCTTCACCCCCTTCCTAACCCTTCTGCCTGAGTCCCCAAAGTCCATTGTGTTATTCTTATGCCTTTGCATCCTCATAGTTTAGCTCCCATTTATGAGTGAGAGCATATGATGTTTGCTTTTCAATTCCTGAGTTACTTCACTTAAAATAGTCTCCGATCTCAGCCAGGTCACTGCAAATTCCATTAATTCATTGCTTTTTTTTGTGGCTGAGTAGTATTCCATCGTGTGTGTGTGTGTGTGTGTGTGTGTGTGTGTGTATACACCACAGTTTATCCACTCATTGATTGATGGGCATTTGGGTTAGTTCCACGTTTTTGCAATTATGCACTGTGCTGCTATAAACATGCCCATGCAAGTATCTTTTTCATATAATGACTTATTTTCCTCAGTAGTGGGATTGCTGGATCAAATGGTACTTCTACTTTTAGTTCTTTAAGGAATTTCCACACTGTTTTCTATAGTGGTTGTACTAGTTTACATTCCCACCAGCAGTATAGAAGTGTTCCCTGTCTACTGTATCCATGCCAACATCTACTATTTTGTGATTTTTTGATTATGGCCATTCTTTCAGGAGTAAGGTCGTATCACATTGTGGTTTTGATTTGCATTTCCCTGATCATTAGCAATGTTGCGCATTTTTTTCATGTTTGTTGTCCATTTGTATATCTTCTTCTGAGAATTGTCTATTCACGTCCTTAGCCCACTTTTTGATGGAATTGCTTGTTCCATGTTAGAGTTCATTGTAGATTGTGGATATTAGTTCTTTGTCAGATGTACAGCTTGTGAAGACTTTTCCCCCACTGTGTAGTTGTCTGTTTACTCTGCTGACTGCTCCTTTTGCCATGCAAAAGCTCTTTAGTTTAAGTCCCAGCTATTTATCTTTGTTTTTATTGCATTTGCTTTTGGGTTCTTGGTCATGAAATTCTTGTCTAAGCCAATGTCTAGAAGGCTTTTTTCCAAAGTTATCTTCTAGAACTTTTATAGTTTCAGATTTTAGATTTAAGTCCTTAGTCCAACTTGAGCTGATTTTTTAAGGTGAGAGATGAGGATCCAGTTTCATTTTCCTACATGTAGTTAGCCAATTACCCCAGCACCATTGTTGAAAAGGGTGTCCTTTTCCCATTTGTTTTTGTTTGCCTTGTTGAAGACCAGTTGGGTGTAAGTATTTAGGTTTATTTCCAGGTTCTCCACTCTGTTCCATTGGCCTATGTGCCTATTTTTATACCAGTACCATGCTGTTTTGTTGACTATGGCCTCATAATACAGTTTGAAATCAGGTAATGTGATTTTGCTTAGTCTTGCTTTGGCTATGCGGGCTCATTTTTTGGTTCCCTATGAATGTTAGAATTGTTTTTTCTAATTCTGTGAAGAATGATGGTGGTATTTTGATGTGAATTGCATTGAATTTGTAGATTGCTTTTGGCAGTATGGTCATTTTCACAATATTGATTCTATCTATGAACATAGGATGTGTTTCCTTTTGTTTGTTTTGTCTATGATTTCTTTCAGTAGTGTTTTCTAGCTTTCATTGTAGAGGTCTTTCACTTCCTTAGGTATATTCCTAATTTTTTTTTTTTTGCGGCTATTGTAAAAGGGGTTGAGTTCTTGATTTGATTCTCAGCCTTGTCTCTGTTAGTATATAGAAGAACTACTGATTTATGTACATTAATCTTGTATCCAGAAACTTTGTTGAATTCCTTTATCAGTTCTAGGAGCTTTCCGGAGGAGTCTTTAGGGTTTTCTAGGTAAACAATCATGTGATCAACAAACAGTGACAGTTTGATTTCCTCTTTACTATTTGGATGCCCTCTATTTTTTTTTTCTTTTCTGATTGCTCTGGCTAGGACTTCTAGTACTATGTTGAAGAGGAGTGGTGAGAGTGGGCATCCTTGTTTTGTTCCAGTCCTCAGAGTGAATGCTTCCAACTTTTTCCCATTCAGTATTATGTTGGCTGTGGGTCTGTCATAGATGGCTTTTATTATATTGAGGTACATCTCTTGTATGCCAATTGTGCTGAGAGTTTTAACCATAAAGGGATGCTGGATTTTGTAGAATTGTTTTTCTGCATCTATTGAGATAATCATACGATGCTTGTTTTTAATACTGTTTATGTGGTGTATCACATTTCTTTTTTTTTTTAAGAGGAAAATCTTTTTTATGGTATAATAAAACAAGGCCAAACAAAAAAAGCTCAATAACTATTTATCTCTGCAGATAAAACATGTAGACAGATGCAGCTGCCTCGACTGGCTCAGGTTCTAAGAGGAGGGCATTAGGACACCTTGCCCTCCACAATAACAAGTGGTTTCATTCTAAAAGATCCCCAGATGAAAGCAGGAGGATTCCAAGGAAGGGTGAGATGAAAGAAGTCCTATGACCTGAACGAACTCTTAACAGCACCTTAAATTATGGAGACCTCATCTTTTGGTCCCAGTTTTCCAGGTCTGACCCTTCAGTGTCCAGATAACCACCAACACCTGCCTGGTGGGGACACGTGGGCAGCAACATGGAGCGACAGTGCGCAGCATGCTACACACTGGAGGGCAGACACTGGATAACAGTCTTTAGGCTCAGCCTGTCACACAAGTGCATGCTCAGAGCTCCCCAGACAGCACCCCACTGCTTTTGGCCCACTGGTGTCCAGCCAAAAATAGGCTGGCCAGGCATGGCAGCTCATGCTTGCAATCCCAGTGTTTTGGGAGGCTGTGGTGGGAGGACTGTGTGAACCCAGGAGTTCGAGGCTGCAGTGAGCTACAATCACATTTCTGGACGTGTATATATTACACCATCCCTGCAACCCTAGTATGAAACCCACTTGATCATTATGGATATTATCTTTTTGACATGTTGTTGGATTTTGTTAGCTAGTATTTTGTTAAGGATTTTTAGCAACTATGTTCATCAGGGATATTGGTCTATATTTTCTTTTTTGGCTATATCCTTTCCTGGTTTTGGTATTAGGGTGATGTTGGCTTCATAGAATTATTTAGGAAGGGATCCCTCTTTTTCTTGGTATCAAGACTTCTTTGAATGTCTGATAGAATTGTCTGGTCCTGGACTTCTTTCTGTTGGTAATTTTTTTAATTACCACTTCAATCTTGCTGTTATTGGTCTGTTCAGGGTATCTACTTCTTCCTGATTTAAACTAGAAGGGTTGTGTCTTTCCAGGAGTTTATCCATCTCTTCTAGGTTTTCTAGTTTATGCATGTAAAGGTGTTCATAGTAACCTTGAATGATCTTTTGTATTTCTGTGATATCAGTTATATTATCTCCCATTTCTTATTGAGCTTATTTGGATTTTCTCTCTTCTTTTCATGGTTAATCTTCCTAATGGTCTATCAATTTTATTTATCTTTTCAAAGAACCAGCTTTTTGTTTTATTTATCTTTCATATTTTTTGTTTCAGTTTCATTTAGTTCTGCTCTGATCCTGTTTTTTTCCTTTCTTCTGCTATGTTTGGATTTGGTTTGTTCTTGTTTCTCTAGTTCCTTGAGGTGTAGACTTAGATTGTCTGTGCTCTTTCAGACTTTTCGATGCAAGTGTTTAGGGCTCTGAACTTCCCTCTTAGCACCACCTTTGCTTTCTCCCACAGGTTTTGATAGTTTATGTCACTATTGTTGTCAGTTTGAAGAATTTTTTTAATTTCCATCTTGATTTCATTATTGACCCAATGTTTATTCAGGAGCAGGTTATTTAATTTCCAGGTATTTGCATGGTTTTGAAGTTGGAGTTGATTCCCAGTTTTATTCCACTGTGGTCTGAGAGTGCTAGATATAATTTCAATTTTCTTAAATTTACTGAGGCTCATTTTGTGGCCTATTATGTGGTCTATCTTGGAGAAAGTTCCATGTGTTCTTAAATAGATTGTATATTCTGCTGTTGTTGGATGTAATGTTCTGTATATATCTGTTAAGTCCATTTGTTCCACAGCATAGTTCAAATCCGTTGTTTCTTTTTTGACTTTGTCTTGATAACTTGTCTAGTGCTGTCAATGGAGTATTGAAGTCCCCCACTACTATTGTGTTGCTATCTCATTTCTTAGGTCTATTAGTAGTTGTTTTATAAATTTGGGAGCTCCAGTGTTAGGTGCATATATGTTTAGGACTGTGCTATTTTCCTAGTTGGACAAGGCCTTTTATCATTATATAATGTCTCTCTTTGTCTTTTTTAACTGTTGTTGCTTTAAAATTTGTTTTGTCTGATATAAGAATAGCTACCCCTGCTCACTTTTGGTGTCCATTTGCATGAAATGCCTTTTTTCCACCCCTTTAAGTTTGTGTGAGTATTTTTGTGTTAGGTGAGTCTCCTGAAGGCAGCAGATGGTTGGTTGGTGAGTTCTTATCTATTCTGTAATTCAGTATCTTTTAAATGGAGCATTTAGGCCATTCACATTTAATGTTAGTATTGAGATACGAGGTACCATTCCATGCATGCTATTTGTTACCTGTATACCTTGGATTTTTGGGGGTTTTTTTGTTTTTTAAATTGTATTTTTGTTTTATAGGTCCTATGAGATTTATGCTTTAAAGAGGTTCTGTTTTGATGTGTTTTCAGGATTTCTTTCAAGATTTAGAGCTCCTTTTAGCAGTTCTTGTTTTGGTGGCTTGGTAGTGGCAAATTCTCTCAGCATTTGTTTGTCTGAAAAAGACTGTATCTTTCCTTCATATATGAGGCTTATTTTTTTGCTGGATACAAAATTCTTGGCTGATAACTGTTTTGTTTGAGGAGGCTGAAGAGAGGGCCCCAATCCCTTCTAGCTTGTAGGGTTTCTGCTGAGAAATCTGCTGTTAATCTGATAGGTTTTCCTTTAGAGGTTACCTGCTGCTTTTGTCTCATAGATCTTAAGATTCTTTCCTTTATCTTAACTTTAGATAACCTGATGACAATCTCCCTAGGCGATGATAGTTTTACGATGAATTTCCCAGGTGTTCTTCATGCTTCTTGTATTTGAATGTCTAGATCTCTAGCAAGGCCAGGGAAGGTTTCTTAGATTATTCCCCCAAATATGTTTTCCAAACTTTTAGATTTCTCTTCTTCCTCAAGAGCACTGATTATTTTTAGGTTTGGTCATTTAACATAATCCCAGACTTCTTTGAGGCTTGGTTCACATTTCTTATTCTTTTTTGTCTTTGTTGGATTGGGCTAATTCAAAGACCTTGTGTTCGAGACCGAATTTCTTTCTTCTACTTGTTCACTTCTATTGCTGAGACTTTCCAGAGCATTTTGCATTTTTATAAGTGTGTCCATTGTTTCCTGAAGTTTTGATTTATATTTTATGCTATCTCTTTCCTTGAATATTTCTCCCTTCACTTCTGTCATTTTTTTTTTTTTTTTTTTTGTATTTCCTTACTTTGGGCTTCACCTTCCTCTGGTGCCTCGCTAATTAGCTTAATAATTGACCTCCTGAATACTTTTTCAGGTAAATCAGGGATTTCTTTTCTGTTTGGCTCCATTGCTGGTGAGATAGTGTGATTATTTTTTGGGCGGGTAGGGGAGTTAAAGAACCTTGTTTAGTCATATTACCGGAATAGGTTTTCCGGTTTCTTCTCATTTGCGTAGGCTCTGTCAGAGGGAAAGTCTAGGGATGAAGGCTGTTGTTCAGATTCTTTTGCCCCACAGGGTGTTCCCTTGATATAGTACTCTCACCCTTTTCCTATGGATGTGGCTTCCTGAGAGCTGAGCTGAAGTGACTGTTATCTCTGTTCTGGATCTAGCCACCCAGCAAGTCTATCAAGGTCCAGGCTGGTATTGGGGGTTTTCTACCCAGAGTCTTGTGATGTGAACCATCAGTGGGACTCTCAGCCGTGGATACCAGCACTTGTTCTGGTGGAGGTGGCAGGGGAGTGAAATGGACTCTGTGAAGGTTCTTACCTTTGGTGGTTTAATGCATGATTTTTGTGCTGGTTGGCCTCCTGCCAGGAAGTGGGGCTCTCCAGAGAGCATCAGCTGTGGTTATAAAAGGAGGAACAGGTGGTGGGCAGGGCCCTACAACTTGCAAGAGTATATACCCTTTGTTACCAGGATGGGTAGCGAAGGACCATTAGCTGGGGGCAGGGCTAGGTGTGTCTGAGCTCAGACTCCCCTTGGGCAGGTCTTGCTATGACTGCTGTGGGGGTTGGGGGTGAGGTTCCCAGGTCAATGGAGTTATATTCCTAGGAGGATTATGACTGTCTCCATTATGCAGGTTGTCAGGGAACTGGGGGAAAGTCGGCCTCACTTAGCTCCCTTGCAATCCAAAGGGCTGGTCTCACTTCCACCATGCTCCCCGCAACAGCATTGAGTCTGTTTCCAGGCAGTGGGCGAGCAGGACTGAGAACTTGCCCCAGGCTACCCACCTCCCAGCAGCAAAATCAAGTATGGCTTTCCTTCTTTCTCCACCTGTGGCGTCTGCACACCGAATTCACACCCTCCCCTGAGTTCTAGCCAGGAGGCTTCTCTATCAGTTCAAATTGTTACAAAGTTTAGTTGGAGGTTTCCTTCTCTGTGTGGCCTTTTCTCAGCACCTCTAGTTGCCTTCCTGGAGGACCCCTGTGAGACCAGGCAAAAATGAGTTGCTAGGGGACCCAGCGAGCTCCCAAGGCTTTTCCCGCTGCTTCCTCTACCTCTGTATTGCACTCAGCTTTCTAAGTTGACTCAGCCCCAGGTAAGGTCAGAATCTCTCTTAATCTAGACCTTCAGTTTCCCCAGTGTGGGTTTGTGTTGAGGGGAGGATGATCTCCCTTTCCCACTTCCACAGTTTGGACACTCACAGTATTTGGCGTGTCTCCCGGGTCCTGCAGGAGCAATCTGCTTCCCTCAGGGGGTCCTCTCAGGTATCATGATATATTCCTGCAGTCATTCTGGAGCAAAAATTCATGATGCCAGCCTCCACATGCTGCTCTGTCCATCCGAGTCGGAGCTGCAATCTAATCCTGCCTCCCGTCCACCATGATCCTCCGCCTCTTCAATTTCCTCTAATAGTTCTGATGCTCTATTCTTCTGGTTTTCCTCCTTTGTTTAGAACAGACCCTCCCCTCAGTACATGTATTAGTCTATTCTCACACCGTTATAACAGAATATCTGAAACTGGGTAATTTATAAGGAAAAGAGGTTTAATTGACACATGGTTCCACAGGCTGTACAGGAATCACAGCTGTGGAGGTCTCAGGAAACTTACAATCATGGTGGAAGGGGAAGGGAAAGTAGACACGTCCTACATGGCTGGAGCAGGAGGAATAGAGAGAATGGGAAAGTGCTTTTAAACAGCCAGATCTCTTGAGAACTCACTCACTATCACAAGAACATCAAGGGAGAAATCCACTCCATGATCCAATCACCTCCCAGCAGACCCCCTCCTCCAACACTGGGAGTTATAATTTGACATGAGATTTTGGCATGACAATTACAATTTGACATGAGATTTGAGCAAATCTTATCAGTACCCTTTCAGGATGACCCTTTTTCTAACTATCAACAAATATTGGCATAACACCAGTGATTCCTCTTCATCCCTCAAATTTCAATCAAACTCTTTGCCTTGGTTCTGTCATCTATGCTAGCGGTTCTCAATCAGGGGCAATTTTATCCTCCAGGAGGCATTTGATGATGTCTGAAGATATTTTCCTTACAACTGGAGGGTGCTACAGACTTCTGGAGGAAAAAAACCACTAAATGATACACAGGACAGCTCACCACATAAAGAATTATCCTGTACAAAATGTCAATAGTGCCAAAGTGAAGAACCCTGATCTATGCTCCCTGCTTTAAATATCATATAGGTGAATGACTCCAAATCTTATTTTTCAACTTATATCTTTACCCACAACTGTAGACTTGTATATATATCGACAGCTCTACTAAATGTAATTAAAATAAAAATCTCTCTCCCAATTTATATTAAACATTTTAAAGTTCTTATAATAAATAACGACTCTATTTGTCTCTATTCCAAACTGATATCTGGAGTATAATTTGTGTCTCTTTTAAATCCTATCATTCCCCAAATCACATTTTTTTTTCTTGTCTAAGATTCCATGTAAACATTGACTTTTTTCCATTCTTCTTAGGAGGTATGTTGTTTTAAGCGATCAAGTTTGTAGTAATTTGTTACAGCAGAACTAGAAAACTAATATATTCATCTAATTTTATTTTTGTAGCTTTTGATATAATTTTCTACATTTTTCTTTAAATGCTCTCTTGAGATAATGATGGAGCCATATTATATAACTAACTTTAACATAATTAGCTTTACTCATTCTCTGAAACTAAAGAGGAAAAGTATACTAGAATAGCATAGGCAATTCCACCCACTATTTCACTTCAGAATCAGAAAGAGGTCTTGGTTCCTGCATGTCTCTTTCATGCGTGAGCTATTTGCTTCCCTAAGTGAGTCTAGACTTTTCATAGAAGTACAATATAACACTAAATGTGAACTCACCAACCACTTAAGCACACAGCAGACATATTCCAATTGGAAAGAAAATTGCCTGTGTTGTGACTATTTAGAGATGGTATGTTGATCCCAAACTGGCATTTTCCCAGTTAATTTTTAAGGAGTTTCTGACAACCTTCAATGGTGTTTGCTTTACTTACTGAATTTAGAAACAAACTCATATAGGTGTGAGTCTGGTGCTTCAAAACAGCCAACTTTTCCTCAAATGTTCTACAGCAGCCAGGGTAAATTCGAATGAAACAGCTAGTTATTCTGACCCAGGGTTATTTTCAGCGGCTTCTCATTACTGAGAGGGAAAAATTCAAGCTCATTTTTATGGAATAAAATGCTATATAGAATCCTATTTTGGTTTATAACTTCAGCATTATGTCTTATCATTTCTCTTTTTCTAGGCACAGAATATTAGCACTATCAAATTAGTAATGTTCTCAAGAAAGCTTAAATCTAACAAGAAATTTAGGATATGTTAAAGAATTCTAGCACCAAAGACTTACTTAAGTTTACAAAGATAGCTAGCTGTTGGGGTGTATTTAGTATATTTAGGGAGAATTTAGTGGAAAATAAAATTGAGTGGTAACCTTCCTGTTGTCTTGGAATTGGACCCAATATGAGCCTGTACATCTTTCATTCTACATCATATCAGAGGCTGGCTGACTCACAATCCAAATCCCCTGCCTACATCAATATAAAGGTGCAACAGTAAAAGAGGAATGAGAGTGAGAATTAGTCAGTAGAATCAAATGTGATTTGCCTAGCTGAGGCTTTCCATCCCATAGGGAAAGGCAATGGGTTAAAAGAGGTTGATAGGGTTAGAATTAGTCTCATACACTAGGCAACAGGGCAATGAGGAGGCTTCCCAAGGGCCTTCCAAAGAATTAACACATGTATTAAAGGGGACTTTTGGAAACAGCCACCCCAAAGAAATGCTGTACTTCTGTCATGCCCAATTCAGTGAAAAGATTTTCTCTTTCCTTTAATGTTTCCTTCCTGCCCCAACGTTGAAGTGAGAGGAAAAGGATTAAAAGAGCTATTCGTACCTAGGTCCCTCCAGCCAAGGTCAGGGCTGAAGGAGAGATGAGATCAGAGGTTTAAAGTGGACCTGATTGTGATTTTAATTAACTGAAAGGGACTAGAAAACTGTGCAATGATTTAGGAATTGGGACAGATGATTTGATATACATACATATATGTTATTTGAAAGAGTGATGGGAGAAAATTCCACTTCAAGTTTAATATCACTTCAAGCTATGATTATTCAATACATGGCTTAACTCCAACTCTGGTATTAAAATATCTAGGAAAAAAATCACCCAGGAGTACAGTCTGGGGGAAAATGCTTGTAAAATTATCTGTTCACAGGCTGAGCATGGTGTGGCCTACACCTGCAATCCCAGCACTTTGGGAGGCTATTGCAGGAGGATCACTTGAGGCCAGAAATTTGAAACCAGCATGGGAAACATAGCAAGATCTCTACAAAAATAAAAATTTGCCAGATGTGCGTATAGTCCCCGCTATTTGGGAGGCTGAGGTGGGAGGATTGCTTGAGCCCACTGCGCTTCAGCCTGGGTGACAGAGTGAGACCTTGTCTCAAAAAAATAAATAAATAAATAAAACAAATTAAAAATAATCTAATCATGAAAGTAGCAGACGTTCATTTTAATCTTAATTCTTTCATTCTGCTTATTAAAGATTCTAGGGAAGAAAAATTTTTTAAAAAAGTCTTAATTTTATCACTCTTGGAACGCTGCTGACATGAAAATGTATATTGCATGTAAATGGTAAAAGAAAAAAAATGTATATGAAAGTCTCTGATGTGAAATACAAAGTCTACTCTTTCCTTCCCACATTTAATCACATCCATATATTTCCTCAAAATTAACTACATTTTTAAAAATTTATCTTTCTAGTAAAGCATTTATACTCACATATATACATTTCTTTGTTTATCTTCACCAATGGGATTCCATATTTTTCATACCCAAACACATAGATTTACCTCATTCTGGGTTAATAGCTATAGTATATAGTTATACATTTTAACTATCTCCTGACTGATAGATGTTTAATCTGGCTTTATTACTATTATGAATAGTTATGGTAATAGTAATGTTAATATCCTGTACAGCTATCTTGGCATCTTTTGTGAAATATTAAAGATATCTTGTTTCCTCATATATTTGCCAACATTGAATTGCATCAAAACCTTTAAACAGTTGCCAATCTGATAGGTTAAAATGTTATCTATTTATTACTTTTATTCATATTTATTAAAGTGAGATTGAATTTTAATACACTGTTTAACATTTATATTTTTAGTCTGAGAAATAGTTACGTATATAACTTTCTCACTTCTTTAATATAATTTTTTTTTACTAACTTCCAGGAGATCTTTGCAAATCAAATTTGCCTTTTGCCTGAAATTAGCCATGTACTTATTTTTCACAATGTATCATCTGTCACTTAACTTTGTCTAGGTTATTTTTATCATATAAAAGTAGTGCACTATTAAGCAGTAAAACTACCTAAAACTTTTCTTTATAGATTCTTGGTTCCTGTCTCATTCAGAATGGCCTATTCTATTCCAATAAATACATTTATCTTATTGTTGCATAGTATCTTTATAAATAAATTCTTACAATTAAGGCTTTTTGTCATCTGGGATTTATTTTGTTATATATGCATATACATATAAACACACAGATACAGACACATATATACATGCATATTATATGTCTTGTTAGCTTTCTTAATCATATTTGTGCAATAATCCTTGTATTCCTCACATATATGAAATGAATCTTTATCATATAAAAAAAAGACCAATATTTCTTAATTCAGGGACAAGACATCAACGCCCAATGTTACAACTGTAGTTTTGCCCTTTTGTAGAAGTAGCTAATGTAACTTGAAAAACTTCAGAAGATACATAAAAATTCTAAATGAATAGGGAAAATGGTTACTTTTCCCAGATAATTTGACTATAATACTAAAAACAAAATCCACTAAAAAAAACTGAAAAAATAAGAATTCAGTAACTGGACTGGTGATGAAATAGCAGTTTTTCCAGTGGGCTCATTCTCTGTAGTATTATATTTATTAATATTGAGTCATTTTTTAATTCATGGCATGAACCTTAACTGGCTATTTTATAATGCTGCATTATACTTGTATATCATTTAATTCAATTTGCTAATACAGGCATTCCTTGTTATCTGAATCTAGCCCAATCCTGCAAATGAGTTGAATACCAAGTTTTTAAATAACAGGAGTCTTGTTCTATTATTTTAACTGTAAAAAATAATTCATTCCCAAGCCATTTCAAAATCCCAACCAATTTTTCCTCAGATACTAAGAAAACACCCTTAAACACTTACATAATAATTCACTGAGAATTCCCTTATTGTATGATATATTCAAGACATCAATTGTCAATTCAATAAACACATGAAAGGGCATATTTGTAAGTAATATACATAAAAATCCTGCATAAGAATGCAGTGAAAGAACATTAACTATAAATTATATTTTGAGTTGACAAGGGAAAAATAAAGACTTAGAGACATCATGAAAATTCACCTGAGTTGGTTGCTAGTTAAGGCAGAGAAACCCTCACCCAACAAAGAAGGCTTAGTCCCTGTGAGATGGGGTTTTCAGGAAAAGGAGCTAGTACAGGATTTTTATAAAGCCAAAAACCTAAACAACTGTAAGTGAAATTACTAGTGGATTTCAATGAAGTTGTATGATTGGCTGAGTCCAGATGGCCCAGGTAAGTCATACACTGCAATCGCAATGTAACCATCAGACTATTTCTCTGAACAGACTAGTTTTCTAAGAAGAGCACCTGTATTCTTCCTGCTGAAGTCGTGACTACTTTCCATCTGGCAGTACCATGTAATTCCAGGCTACGGGCTCTCAACAGTTCTAATTCCAGACTTTCTCACCTTATGTACTCTAATGAATATATTCCATATTGTAAGTGAAAGTTACAATATCATGTTAAGAATACTTAATAAATACAAACAACACTTAGCAAAATAAACTCACAAGGCAAAAAAATGACTACTTGCCAATGAAAGACTATGTGAGTGAAATTTGCGGATGAGGAAATGAAGATGAAAACTTGTAGCTATTTATTTTAGTGGGGTTGGCGTGAGTGAGAATTATTTGGTGAAAGAATGAAACATTTCATGTCCAAGACTTGGCCTGGTCTAAGTCCAAAGAATTAGAAGATGGCCTTCAGTTCTTAGCATTTAAAATTCCAGAAGTGGATGGAGATATTATGTGAGGCTAAACACAAAGTAATGGGATCAGAAAAAACAAAACGAAACAAAATCCAAATAAACATGTTTAAGTACCACTTGCTTGTGGTTATACAGTGTCTGATAACATGAGATAAGATTTGTAACTGTGTGTATTTTGCTACCTTTTGTTGAAGTATATACAGAAAAGTATACAGAATATAATTTTATTGCCTAATACATTTCACAAACTAAGCACCTTCAAAAACCAATGTCTAGATCTAGGAAGGAAACATTACTCACACTCCCATTAAGAAACAGAAACATACCTGCACATCCCCAAGCTAGAAGTACTCCTAGTTAGTGCCTAACCCATCACTAACTCTAAAGAGGGCAAGCCCTATCTGATTTTGTAATTAAAATGAATGCTGCTATTCATTCATATCATGAAGGTTTGCATAGCAATCACTTTTAGAGTGATCTAAACAATAATAAAACAAGCTAATCATGTGAAGGCTGTATAAAAACGTTTCAGTCACATGACCAAGCTTCAGAAGAGACTCTAGGGTTTGCGCATGTTCAGGAAATTAAGGACAAAGAAAACAGACCCGGGTGAATTAAGGGGATGAGATACGAGAGAAACAGAGATGTGTCTAGAGGTCAGGCCACCTAGCACTTTATGGGCCAAGCAAAGACTTCCTGAGATTCATGTTAAGAACTCTGCCTCTGGGCTCATTCTATTATTTTGAGCGGGGTGGTAATGGAGGGGTTTTTTTATGATATTGTCTCTTAAACTTTTTTTCTTAACATATCAATATATTTGGCATACAGAGGAAATTGAAAGCTGATGAAATCGCTATGTTATTTTAAAGGTTCCTTTTTTCTCTTCCTTTGCCTATGACTTTTTAAAAGATAGGACTTATTGCATTCTCTTTTATCTATTCTCATTTTTATTTATTTGGGTTTATTTTGTAGATTTAGAGAAACAGAGGTAGTGTTCTCAAGCATCATGCCCCCCTCTTACTATGAAGGTTCCAGTTATTTTTTGAATGAGAAATAAATATATGAATCAAAACCATCTAAATCATTATTGCCTCCCTGTGAATTTTTCAATGGTTAATTTCAAAATAAGTTATATAATTGAACATATTTTTCTAAATGCAGACACACCTCTTACTGCTGAAAAAGCCAAAAAAAAAAAAAAAAAAAAAAGAATTTTCTAGCCAACAAATGTCAAAGTATGCTGAAACAGAAGTTGAGGTTAACTAGGTTATTTCTTGGGCAAATTTCTACATAAAAACTGAATTAAGGAGAGGAAAAGTGTTGCGATAAGAAAAATGGATGTTGACAATTGGCATGAAAACACACAAAGCCACTGCAGGGGAGAAGCAGAAGCTGTGTCAAATTTACTTTCATGTTTGTATTTGTTTACATAAATCCAAGGAAAGAGATAGCGCATGTTTCACTAGAACTCTCACCTTTGTGGTCTGCACAATAATTAACTAGTGTGAAAAGTAGGAAAAATATGTGTGTATGTAATCAATAAAAACTATATTACTGCGGTGGGAGTTTATAGGAGACAAAAAAATGTGAAGCTCAACCTATCCATTACTTTCTAAACTTAACAACTCTAATAAGCAACAGGAGAAAGGTAGAGAGTTGGACAGTTTGATTTGCTTATGTTGTAACAATAAAATATAACAGCATTGAGTTTTTACTCTATAAAATATTACAAATATATGCCTGACCACATTACTGCATCAGATTTCTCTTAACCAATACATGAGCTCTTCCCAGTCTCTGATCATCTTTCTATACCCAATGCTAGCCTAGATTTAGAGAGAAAGACAGGAGCTGAATGAAATGTCAAGGAGGCCAAGGCAGCTAGCAATGTCAGGGCAGAGTACAAGAGAGGAGAGGGCCTTACAGAGAGAGCTCTGGAGAGCAACAGAGTACTCCCCCAGGTCTTCCGTTGAGAACTGGTCAGCAGGATTGCTCAGCAAATTGGTTGTTTCTAAACCACTCTCTTAACCACTGTGAGGTTAACCCACAGAAATACAGAGCAGAGCTAAGGTCTTTCATCTGCATTTAGATACTCTAGTCCCTCTTTTTATTTCCCGATTAAGTAAGCATTATTATGAATTACTTTTCACCAGTTCAGATTTTAAACTTGCTATCTTTTAGAAGAAACCTCCAGCACCCGGTGTTCATCAGAGGGTCACTGGAACCCAGAAAATTAGACCTTCTCTTTTTCATCAGTGCTGCACAATGAATAAAATAGAAATAGAGTATATAGGCAGACCCATCCACACTAGACTAGCCTTTTTTGTCATCTAGTAAAACTCTGTGTCCTCAAATATATTAAAAATAAGCATAGAATTGCATAGCTACATCATCAGTTTATTAATAAATTTAAAAAAACAAATCATTTACTTTAAATTTTCACTATTGATATCTCTTGTAAATGAAGAGTAAAACCAGACGGTTTTTTTTTTTATTTTAAGGACAATTATATCGAATAATCAGAGAGTCAAAAAAGATTTCATAGAAAGAACAACAAACAGATTTGAAAAGACTGGCTTATAGTAAAAGTTTTGCCAAATTCTATCATCGGAGTCATAATTTCTCTTGTTTGAAATTCCTCACTTGTAAAAAATACGCGTGCAAGAATAATCTAAAAGATTCAGCATTATAATCTCATGAGTTTTAAGCTATCTGAAACAATTTTCAAGAGACAAATCTAACATGTAGTCTCAGAGTTTTCAGTATTTACTTTCACCAGATACCTTATTTTAAAAATGTTCTTATTTCTTGACCTTTTCCTTCAGATAAATTGTATTAGATTAACACAAATCATTTTATTGAAAAATGTCTACAACTACTCCAAACTTAGACATTGATCTAAAGGAAAAATGAATTTGGAATCATTTAAGATATTTTACAAACTTACCATTTAGTTTTGTCTTTTTCTCGACTTCTAAATTATCTGACTTTCTGGAAACCACATCTGTCAGTTTTATAAACATAGGAAGGAAGACTTTTATTATGATTAGGCAGTTACGCCTTCCCCATGAGGTAATCTCAAAAAACATCTACTCTCATGAAAGTAAAAGTTCAAAGAGATCTGGAAAATTTTCTGATAAACATCCTCTGTATTTCATGTTTTAATCATGATGCAGCTTTTATGCTTGGTAATTATTCAGACAATTCTAATGACAGAATCACGGGTTTGTATAATACAGAGATAAATAAAAGTTTTCACAGATTAGCCCATGAACCACCCCCCCAACAGGAAAACATTCAGATTTGTTCCACCCTATGAAAATGCATGCAGGCATCATCAACTCTTCCAGCCTACGCAAGCCATGAATATTCCAGCAAGGAGATGTAAAGCCCTCCTCTCCCCCAGTAGCCCATTTACCACACAATCACATATGTGTGAATAATAATATAATCTCTTAAACTCTATCCCATCAATATCTTTAAACACTTTGAATCTAAGATTAGAAAGTCCTGAGATTTTCACTTACAGTGAAAATGTCTTCTTACTAAATAACACAAATCCATCTACTTTTAGAGGATTAAAAAAAAAAGTTTGCTGTTTTTTTAAGAGATTTCTACTATATTCTTTTAAAATTTCTATTTTCTTCTTTCATTATTTACCTGTTTCTTCCCTAAAATTCCTTCCCATTGACAATTTCTTTCTTAAAATATCAACGTAAGAACGTACACGTAGAGTAAGAGGGTGAACCAATCCATGTCTGGGGGCCCAAACTCTGTTCATTAATTTATATCTGAGGGCAAACTTCCCTCAGGCCAAAGGCATTAACCTTGGGTGAGACCTTAACACCTTTCTACTCCCTTCACCTGGCATGCCTTCTTTTGCCACCACTGCTGGTAGTGAGGCCAACAGGGCTCAATTTTGGACCTGAAGTTGGAAGGATCCCCTGCTAACTTTTTGAAGCGTGAGGCAGATATAATATCAACAATCTGTGGGACACTATTGAAGAATGCAATATTGTAAATGACAATTAAACACTCAACTTAGCCTGCAAATATCCATCTAGCTAATAGTGGTACTTAAAGGTGAGAACATAAGACATTTAAATAGGCTTTACCTCTACTGAGTAATAACATGAATTTCAAGGTCTGGCAGGCTTGGTTTCAAATAAGGATTCTTTCTGGTTTTCTGACTTCAGGCAAGACACTAAATATCTATAAGTCTTGGCTCCTAATTTATGAAATGAGTGTAACAACTGTATCCTCTTCACTGGGAGGGATAAATGAGATAATGTATGTTGAACATATAATATTTAGCATAACTTCTCAGAAAATGCTAGTTATTAGTATCACTATTTATAGGTACATGAAGTTCAGTTCATGAAGTCAGATAGTGTGTCCCCAGTAGTAAAGAGGACACAGAGCATTACACATAGTATGTGCTTCATAGGTATGTGCTGAATTTAAATGACTGTATTCTAATCACTGTTTCTTAAATTATTGTCATGAAAATTCTATTTCATATTCAAAATAAACTTACAAATCAAACTCTGATTTCCAATTTATGAATACACTGCGTAGACTATGGTATTTTCATGTTTCCTTAATATTCTGATAGGACATCAACATTACAAAATACTATCTATGTATGCGTATGTCCCTTCAACCACACACTTGTTTTGTTACAAGATCAATCAGTGGTATGGAGAATAAAAGTTTGGTGTTTCACATGAAGAACATATAATAACATTAAAAAGCAAGAAATAAAGAATGGGTAGAAAGAAATACTTCTCTGCATAAAGCTGAATTAGTGCCTGTAACTAGTTCCCAAAATAAATTATTGAAGCAAATAGTTTACTGTGATTCCAAAAAGCATTAGGCTTAATGAGGCAAAAGTTTGAAAGCGGCTTGCAAATTTACACCTATGGATTTTTCAAAGGAAAATAAGATTTGCCTAAGAAAGTGCTTATTTTGGCAGGCAGAGAAAACAGTGGTGAAAAATTATGGGTTTGTCTCAAAAGCTAAGTTGATTTTGCCTTTTTAAACTGGCTTCAATTAGTTCCATATTTTAAATTTGGTACTGGAAACAAGCTGAGACATTGGTGGACAGAAATAGAAATGGCCACTGCTCTGTAAGCAAAGAACCAGAAATTTCGAATAAATTCTGAGATGATATAAATCTCAGAATTCTCAAATGAATAAATTCTCACCTATTTTGCAAAGAAAGAATTTAGAAAACAGCAGGCAAATAAACCAATATTTATATATCCTACACAAAGGAACATTCAAATGAGGTCAGATTCAGCCCACTGCTTTCTACAGGACAACGAGCTCCACAGTGATGGTTGGTAACTTGCCACTGGCAAGAATCACTACATTTTGGAGTGCTTAACACAAAGTGTTGGGCATCATATTATGTATTTTGCATACATGATTATATTAATTTTTACAAACTTAAGAGGCAACTGTTTGCCCTTTTTTATTTCTTACCAGATGAGGAAGCTAAAATTTAAAGTCAAATTATCTAATGCCATACAGCTACTAGAGAAAAGCAAAAATAAAACTAAGTAATCTGACCTCAAAGACTATTCATTTTATCACTCTTAAGAACCTACAGAGCAATCATCAAAGAAAGATATCTTTTGGTATACTATTATTAACAATTTCCTTTTACATTATTTTTAGAGTATGAATCCTATTGTCCATGACAAATTAATATAAAAACTTTCTAAATATATATGAGTTTAACATATAATGATCACAAAAAATCTTATCTGTGTACCTAAATATAAGTTGTTTTGTAATGTGGACCTTAATCACAGGAGCCCGCTGCCAATTTCCTTGCCAGTACATTATTTCATGTTCTTCAGGCCTGATAGAATATTAAGGGTCAAAGAAATGTCTGAGAGTGTCAACCTTCTGATTTTTAGCCCTGGTGACCTATTTGTTTGTTATTATTATTAAACTTTCAGAAGAAAAATGAAATTTCTTTTTGCCAATGTTGTCTTCTCCCTCATGATATTGTGAAGTCATCTACCCAAGGGAATTAATGGGAAATTAGCTTTAATAACTACAATAGAATCTGCCTTTCACTAGGCACTCACTGTGTATCAGGGACTTTATGTATATTATCTCATATACTCATAGTAACTTTACATATTTTAATCTCTCATTTGGTAAATATGGAAATATTTCAAGTTAAGTGATTTGCTTAAATACATACATCCAGGGTGTCTGATTTAAAAAATAAAACCAGATCTGTGGGACTTCAAAATCGAGTGTCTACCATTATCCCAAATTACTTCTTACATACCAATTAGAGTTGATTTTCTGCTTCTAAACTGACATTATGTGTATTTAGACAAATGGAAATAACAAGGTTCATTTAAACACAAGAACCAACAGAACATATTAAAATCAAAAGTATGAGCTTCACAAAGCCCAAATATTATTACCACCATCATTTTAGTGCTAAATAAAATGTTAAACTTTGGTATTAATATTAATAAAATATTCAGCATGATTTATATAGTGTTCAAGACTGTGAGTTCACATTGAGCTTTTCTATTACTCCAGCAACAACCATAAAGCAGGTAACAACCACCATTTTACAATAAAGTCTAAAAATAATTAATAATTCTTGTATGACTACGCCAAATTGGTTAAGGAGCAGAGCCCAAACATAAACTTAAGTATTATCACTTCAGATTCACTGGTTGAAATAATCATGCTTTGTGATTCTTCCGTAAAATACATTAGTAGACTTTATGCAACATTAGTGAACAATTTCAGTGTGAGCTTTAGATCCAATAGATCTTGGCTCTAACTTTGGTTGTGGTATTTTATAGAAAAATTAATGTGGGAAAATCATTTAATCTTTCTGGGACTGTTTCCTCATCTGTAAATGGCAAGTTAATAACAACTATGAAATAGGGTTGTTTTGAGGAGTAATCACAAAAGAACCCTAGAATGGTTTTTGACAATACATAAATTTTTCACCACTAGTTTCTCTATTCCAAAATTTATAACAGACATTTTCTGGTGGAAAACAAAACAAAAGTGTTTTCTATAATTTAGATTACTATTAGGTACAAGATACAAACAAAATAAAAGTAAACTTTTAATGCACTAGTTTGTTCCTTAACTCTTACAATCTTTTCACTTTTCATTTATTTTCAATTTTCCTTCTGGTTCTCATTAATTTGGATTAATTATAATAATTTCTGTTCTCATTATTACCATTAGAAACACAACACGTTGTGTCAAAGTCAGTAATCTTTATTCTTTAGATTTGACCAAGAGTCACGATCCTGGATTTAGAAGGCAGCATAACCGTCTTCAGATGGTGCTCATGCCACAGCTTCCATGGCTTCCATATTTACTCCTTTGTCTTGATAAGAGTGGAAAATTGATTTTTATTATAGAGCTTAATAGATGTAACATTGAAGTTACATGGAAAGTCAATTTATGTAGTAACTAAGGGTTATTTAATCTCGGCCTTTTGGCACATCATTCAGTAGGAAGAGGCCTACAGCCCCAGATTATCCTGACTTGACTCCTTGTATTTTCACTAGTCCTTGTTCCATATCCACCAGCTGATTATGGCATGCTCAGAAACCACAATTTAGACATGATAATTTTCTATGTAAAAATCTTCAGGTCTCCCCATTTCCATTAGAAGAAAAATGGTCCATATTCTTTAGCACAAGTAAAGTCTCTTATGATCTGACCCTCAAGTACTCTCTTATTCCATCACTGTCAAATACACAACTTATGTGGAGGCCAGATTTAAATGCTGCTGTTACCAGAGCTTGCCTAGGATTTATTTATAATCCCATCTGATAAGCCCCTTCCTCCTTTCATATTAAAATTCTCTTTAATTTTCCTGGCAAAGATTAACTGTTAATTCCTTCAAGGAAAGTCCACTGATAATTTTTCCCTTCTCCTAATACCCGCAATACTTCATTTATAATGTTTATCTCATACATTTACCTCACACATTGGATGATATGTGTGAGAAGCATTATACGCTGTTCTAAGTTATGAGTTCCTTGGAAGCTTAACTTTGCTTTATCTATTTCTATGGCTACCTCAATGCCAAATATAGTAATTATTTAATAGCTGTTAAAGCATTATCCAGTTATCTAGGCTATAAAAAAGAAAAAAACCTGGGAGAGAAAGATAGCTACAATTACCTCCTCAGAAAAGCAAATACCAGTGTCCATTATAGAGGGGTAAGAAAAAAAACAAGATTTTGTTCATTATGGTCTTTAGATTCATTCGGGCATGTGAACACAAATGCTTTTTCCAGCAGTGCATGATTAACCCAGAAACCAGAGCGGCATCCTGGCAGCAAAGGCGTTCCGTTTTTTATGACCCACTTTTCTATCTTGTCATGCATCCTTCATTATGTTCAACATTCTTGTCAGCAAAGATCATCAATGCATGGGCTGCAGTTGAAGTTGAAGCCCATCCTATATTTTTTTCACCTCTCCATCTTACTCAAAAATAATTCAGTGGAAGGGGCATCACTTATACCTTTGAGGTTACAGATGTATCACTACTGAAACAAATGCTAAGGACAAAGATACAGAGGCTAGCACAGCAAGTCACTGCTATTGCACCATCTTGAAGGAAAATCTGGGGTTTCTAGGTAACAATGTGTATGATTTGCCTTTCAGTTTTTTGTTTGTTCATTTTTTTACCTCCACATGGTAGTTTAAATTGTCGATTTCTCAAAAGCGTTTGAGATATTTGTAGTTAAAAAAAAATCATTTATAGTGGACAATGGTGAGGGTGGCAAAAGGAAGCAGAATGTATACCAGGAGATTAACAAACCGCATTTCTCTGTATTTAGCTAATCTGAACACTTAGACTGTAAAATATAGGATTTTCCTTAGATTATTTCTAAAGTCTAGATTTAAACAAATTAAATTCTCTAATGATGGTTTCTATATCTTTATCACAACACATTATTGCTCAACTGGGAAGAAATAAAAAAATAAAATGATAGCTTCAGAAATGTCTACTAATTATAACGGACTATTATAAGAGCTTTTTGTATATTTACTCATGTAAACTTCACAACAACCCTATTAGGTAAGTTCATTGTTATTCCATTTCACAGATTCAAAAACTGAAGTACAGTGTAATTTATCCAGGTTCACATTTGGGCAAGGGCTAGGATACAAAACGTGACTCCATAGTAGAAAGTGCTCCAAAGCTTTGCTACTGAAAGTGTGGCTCACAGTCTGGAAGCATCAGCATCAAAGGGGAGCTTGTTAGCAATGAAGCTTCTCGGTTTACATATACTACAGTTTCTTTATCCACTCATTGGTTGATGGGCACCTAGGTTGGTTCCATATCTTTGCAATTATGAATCGCACTGCTATAAACATGCGTGTGCATGTCTTTTTCATGTAAGGACTTCTTTTCCTTTGGGTGGATACCCAGTAATGAGATTGCTGGATTCAATGGTAGTTCTACTTTTAGTTCTTTAAGGATTCTACATACTGTTTTCCATAGTGGTTGTGCTAGTTTACATTCCCACTAGCAGTGCAGAAGTGTTCCCTTTTCCCAACATCCCTGCCAACATCTATTGGTTTTTGACTATTTAATTATACTACTCAGCCATAAAAAGGAATGAAATAATGTCTTTTGCAGCAACTTAGATGGAGCTAGAGTCCATTATTCTAAGTGAACTCAGAACTAAGTGGATTGAATTCCTAACTGAGAAATGGAAAACTAAATAGTATATGTTCTCACTTATAAGTGGGAGCTAAGCTATGAGGACACAAAAGCATAAGAATGATATAGTGGACTTTGGGGATTTGGGGGTAGAGATTGATAGGCGGGTGAGGGATAAAATAGTACATTTTAGGTACAGCGTACACTGCTTGGGTGATGGGTGCACCATAATCTCAAAAATCACCACTGAAGAATTTATCCATGTAACCAAAAACCACTTGTACCGCAAAACCCATTGAAATGGAAATAAAAAAAGAAAAATAAAGAAATAAAGATTCTAAGCCCCTGTCCCTTCAGACCTACTCTCCAAGTAATTCACAGATATATTAAAGTTTGAGAAGCACTGGTCTAAAGCACCAAACTTCATTGCCTTGAGCCTCCATATTTTACTGCCTTCTAACAAACATTCAAAGAACATGCACCAGAAAAAAGGCTTCATGTTTTATTTTATTTATTTATTTTATTTTTTTATTTTTTTTGAGACGGAGTCTCGCCCTGTCACCCAGGCTGGAGTGCAGTGGCACCATCTTGGCTCACTGCAAGCTCCGCCTCCCGGATTCATGTCATTCTCCTGCCTCAGCCTCCTGAGTAGCTGGGACGACAGGTGCCCGCCACCACACCCAGCTAATTTTTTGTATTTTTAGTAGAGACGGGGTTTCACTGTGTTAGCCAGGATGGTCTCGATCTCCTGACCTCGTGATCCGCCCGCCTCAGCCTCCCAAAGTGCTGGGATTACAGGCATGAGCCACCACTCCCGGCCAAGGCTTTGTGTTTTATAGTCACCTTGAAATGATATGTTTCTCCAAATTCAAGATGACTCTTCATATTACATTAAATAATGAAGACAAATAATGATGGAAGTAATTTCCTGACCCCACTCAGTGATAGATGGAGAGTGATATTTTTCAGATTTGTTTTCATTAGCGCTATCTTCAGTAATTCAAATTAAAAATCAATATTACAACAAATTTTCTCCATTTATTGTTATGAGCTGGCATCAATGTTTTCTGCATGAATCAGCAAATAACATTTTGTTTTTTATAAGATAGAGTTTATTTTACACATAAGGTTTAATAAAAAAATTGGTTTTCTTCATTTTTCTGAATTTGAATTAAAATATCACTTAGGTCTCTACTCAATGAAATACTGGAAATAAAATGCACACACCTAATCTATTACTATTAAACAGCTACTGAAAACTTCGTTTAGTATATTATCTAACTTCTTCAAAAACAGTGGTAACTCTTGTAAAAATAGAATGGTTTATTAAAGGGAATCATATTTTGATTATGTGAGTTTATTTCTTGAAACTTGTTATTTTCAGTTACCAGTTCAGATAAACTTACCAATAGACCAGAAATATCTCCATATATACAATGAGAGCCATAAAATAGGTTTTTATTAAATTTCTTCTGAGAACTTAAAATCTATATTCAGCATCTTTAAAAAGACAATCATATCAAGCAATGGAGACTCATCTCTAAAATAGCTGCTGTACAAAGCATTTACATCAGGCTAACTCCCTCATAGACAACATTTTAACATCTAAATATGTTTTGTAAAGATTACTTTCTAATTAAGGTAAATTTTGTTGAAATTTTCCATTTAGTCTTTGCCATATATCCTAAAATAAACTTGTTCATACTTTTAATGAATCTATTTATATCTACTTTTATGTGATTATCACTATGGATAATATTTATACTTACTGAGGCTGAAGCAGTAGGATCACTTGAGCCCAGGAGCTTGACACTGCAGTGAGCTATGATCATGCCACTACACTCTTGGCTGGGTGAAAGAGCAAGAGGCCATCTCTAAAAAACAAACAAACATGGCCAGGCACGGTGGCTCACACCTGTAATCCCAGCACTTTGGGAGGCCGAGGCAGGTGGATCACCCTGCGGTCAGGAGTTCAAGACCAGCCTGACCAACACAGTGAAACCCCACCTCTACTAAATACAAAAAAATTAGCTGGGCGTGGTGGCGCATGCCTGTAATTCCAGCTACTTGGGAGGCTGAGGCAGGAGAATCACCTGAACCTAGGAGGCAGAAGTTGTAGTGAGCCAAGATTGTGCCACTGCACTCCAGCCTGGGCAACAAGAGTGAAACTCTGTCTCAAGAAATAATAATAACAAAATAAATAAATAAATAAAAATAAAATTACATATTTTTAGTTATATATTTTTATTATTAATCATGAAATGTTTATACTGTTAATATTTTCCAAGGAAAATATGTCTAATGAACAACTTAGAACTAGTATAATATTTATTATTAAAAGTTGCTAATAGCCTTGTGTTAACTACTTTAACAAACCTGAATGATGTGGAAACTTATTTCGGAATAAAGTTATTCAGAACACATAAAAACAATATATTCAAATGTACAGAGGTCACAAGCCCAAGCATTATCTTTAAATACGTTTGATGTGTTTTACTCTTCTTGAATATTTCAGCATGGAAGCTGCACAAATGTATTTAAAAAAAAAAAAAAAAAAGCCTAAGAACTTAAAACTAAAGTGCTCATAAGGCGAAAGAGAGGATTCTATTGAGCTTTAAAAGAAGAATGAACTTCAACTTCATGTTATTTTTCAAAGATATTCTTGACTGAATGAGTAGGGTGCTAATTGCCTGGTGCAGGTGAAAGAATATTGAGTGGTAAATCTTCTTTAGCCATTAACTTCTACGGCCTTCTGCAGTATTTCTTACCAAAGTTCTCTCTTGAAAACTCCTTATCTGAAAACAATATTGGCAAAACTAAACCCCATCCTCTAAAGCATCTATGGATTTTTGAATAACTCTAGGTTGTTAAAATGGATAATTAATATAAATAAATTTGAGATTAAGGAAAAACAACTCAATTTCTAAAATTGGTTAAGGACATGAACAGGAAATTCACACAGACACACACACACACACCCTTACACATACGTTAAAATAATGAATACGATTTTGTAAACATACCCTAAATTATTTATAACTAAGAAACTGCACCTTAAAAAATTGTAATAATAACTTTTATCTCAGTTTAGAAAATATTAGAAAGCTTACCATAGCTAGTGTTGGTAAGCATTGGTAGAAATAAAAAAACCATACATTTTTGATGGGAGTGTAAATTGGTACTGTCTTTGTGAAAAAAATATTTTAGTGTTATCTACTAAAATATTAAATGCACATGCCCTTAATCTAGCAATTTTATTTCCATTAACACACTCTACAAAAGATTGAAAACATACTTAATATTATATGTATAAATCACCAATGGCTATTACTAATATTAAAAAGCTGGAATGAATGAGATAAATCTAAGTATAACGATATATAAAAAATTATTCAAGTCATTAAACAGAAAAGTCAACAAATATCAAATAGAATGATTTCATTGCTATTAAAATTACTATTAAGCTTTATATATGTATACCAATATATAGGTAGATAAAGATAGAAATAGATGCTCTTGACCCCGAACAACACAAGTTTGAACTGTGTGTGTCCATTTATCCTGGAATTTACTTCTGCCTCTGCCACCCTGAGACAGCAAGACCAATCCCTTGTCAGCGTACTCAATGTGAAGACGGTGAGGATGAAGACCTTCATGGTGATCCACCTCCACTTAATAAATAGTAAATATATTCTTTCTTATAATATTCTTAGTAACATTTTATTTTCTCTAGCTTACTTTATTGTAAGAATACAACTTCGCTTCTGGGCAACAGTAGGGTATTCATAGTTATGTTTCTGGGGAGTCAAAAGTTATACAGATTTTCAACTGCATGGGGAGGGGGCTGTGTGTTTAGGTAACTCTAAACCCCATGTTTTTCAAGGGTGTCAACTGTACATACTTGATTATGTTTATAAAGTTTATTGAAAGAAACACAAAATAAATTTAAAAGTGCTTACATTCGCGAGTAGGACTGCTGGAGACAGACAGCAGAGGACTTTGTTTCTTGCTCTATACTACTCTGCTGCTTGATTTGATTTGATTTTTTGAAATATCCATATAGGGTATAAGAAAAACATGATAGAATAGTGATAAGTTTTACAAAATTTATGTGCACCCATAAACCCTTTCCCTACTTCCCTTATTAAAATCCTTTAATGATGCTGCAGTGCCATGAAGATAAAAACCTTGGAAATTAGTTTAAAAGAAGATGAATAATTCAATAGAAACTAAAGGGAATGATGCAGATGAGCAGGCAGTTACTGAAATAAATATACAAATAGATAATAAACGCAAAAATAGTTTAAGTCACTCTATTACCCCCAAAATAAAGTTAAATGAAAGAACAGCAGCATGCCTTGGCATGATCTTCAAGGCACGTTTTCAAAGCCACCTGTGTGTTACCTCCATCATTATCACATCAACGTTCATGCAGCCGGTTATTTGTCTTCCTTGACTACACACGGTGCATCTTTGAGGTCATAGACCATATGTTTGTTTTTGTTTTTATTTTGTTTTTCTAACCCTGGCACCTCTTATAGATTCCTTGCACATAGCAGGACAGTTAATAAATTATTTTTGAATGAATGATTTTTTTTAATAAATTGCATAAAATGAATGGCAAAAGGAAAGATGCTCTTTATTTTGGAAAATGTTATTGAGAGGAAAATGATTCACAATTATGTCAAATTCTGATGTACTTCATGTTTTAGGAAGCCGAAAATTATTGCTCCTTGTTCAGTGTCCACAAATTCTTATGTAATATCTATAATTAAATAATGGTATATAATGCGTACCTTTCTTTCTCCATTATATTGTGAGATACTTAATAGCTAGGTCTTGTTTCTATATCCGCAATGTCTGGTAAGACAACCATCAAATAAGAGACATTTATTCATATGTGCTGATAATACAGAAGTTATTAGGAAATAATTTTTAGGCAACTAGAAAGGGTCAAAGTTCTCCATGGAATTTTCCTTTAGTAAAAAGCAGCCCTAAACCATTTCTTCTCTTACAGAAAGCAACCTGATAACTTAGGCATAGATATGCAAACTAGAAGCTTTTATATGTAAATGCAGGCAGCTGTACCTGGAAGCCAGGTAAATTCAATATGGTGTCTCCTGCCCTCTTTTTGTTGTCGCTACTCGTACCAGGTGTCATGGCAGCCTCCAGATAAACCCACATGTACAGGCCTCATGGCGACCAGCCAGGTGGAGGCTACATTCTCATAATAAAAGACTAGGGTGGGAGGGCCAGTCTTTTCGCTGGCTACGTAAAAGACACACCTGGTGGATCCAATCCCCTGAGCCCTGTGTAAATCAATCACCTCCTCCTCAAGCCCCTGTAGAAAATCAATTGCCTTCCACCACAAACTAGAGACCCTCTTTTGGGTGACCCACTTTCTCAATATGAGGAATCCTTTTTTCTCTCTCCTCTTTTTCTATTAAATTTTCTGCTCCTAAAACTCACTCCCATGTGCATCAATGTCTGGAATTCTTTCTCAACTGAGACCAAAAACCAGGGTATATACCCCAGACAACAGAGCCGTTTCACTAAGTTGAACAGAATTATACAAATGCCTCTCCTAAATTCAAGAAGGCCAACAAAAGTATTAGTTGACCATTCATTCACCTCAATGTTTCAATAGCATAGTAATTACTTTGTTTACTTTAAGGTATTATTCTTAAGATACGGCACTTAAGGTACATTAATCATATATGCAATCTGTGATATTTCATATAATAAAAATGTATTTTTCATTTTATGTAACTTAGAGAATAATTTTACTTTTTAATAACTAGAAGTTTATAGCTATTGAGTCCTTAATAACATGATTAGGTGAGAACAATAATTTGATTACAAATTTTTAATGTCGTAAACTTCATATTTCGTGTTGCTCAATGGAAGAGCAAGTATTTTTGCCAATTCATTTCATAATTTGATTTCAACTCATGTATACATCTAAAAAGGGTGTTAGTAGACCCAGCAATAATAGCAAAGATTCATGTAGCTGTCACCAGTGGACTGGTATTTCTAAGCACTTGACACTTCTTGACTTTTCTGGGGGGTGGGGAGTCTCACTCTGTCACCCAGGTTGGAGTACACTGGCATGATCTTGGCTCACTGCAACCTCACCTCCTGGTTCAAACGATTGTCCTGCCTCAGCCTCTTGAGTAGCTGGGACTTCAGGCACACATCATCACACTGGCTGATTTTCACCATGTTGGCCAGGAAGGTCTCGAACTCCTGACCTGAAGTGATAAACCCGTCTCAGCTTCTCAAAGTGCTGGGATTACAGGCGTGAGCCCTTGTGTCTGGCCCCTATTGACTTTTATCATCTCAATTTTATAAATGGGGAACTGAATCGCAAAGAAGTTCAATAACTAGCTAAAGTTTATAGAGCTAGTAAATGGCAGAATCCAAATTTGAATCTAGGAACTTTGACTCTGGAGTCTATACTCTTAATCACTGCACAAGATTTTCTCCTTAAAAGCCTAGGTAGCAAAGAGTTCTTATAATGTCAGGAATATGTAGTATGTGACATTACACAGTGTTCTAAGTTGGCCACGTTTAGACAGGTTGTCAGTGCATACAACACACACACACACACACACACACACACACACACACACACAGAGACAAACATAGTATGTCAGGAGACGCATCAGTTTTTTTTTCCCCCATGGCCTCGTCATCATATACCCACATACAATTCTGCCGAATTTTAAAATCAAGACAGTATGCCAGGCTACAGAGTATAATAAACATGCCCACTACTGCTTGCCATTTGGTCATTGGCATCAATCACCTAGAAACCTGTTAGCAATGAAGAATATCAGGTTCAACCCCAAACCACCTGAATCAGAATTTTTATTCAAACAAAATCCTCAGTGTTGGGACACAGTTCTCCATGGGTATCTCATACTTCATGTCTTCTGAAAGTCTGAAGGCATTGACAGCTTTTGTTTTCAAGGATGTTTGTATAGCAAATGGTCTCAAAAGAAAGACATGGTATCTCACTGCAAAGCAGAGGACAGATTCATTTGCTGACCAAGGTAATAAAAATAATGTTTCCCATTGGAGGAAAGGCAGAAAAGAGCTTTATGTAACTTGTTTAAAGATTGGACTTTCCTACATTTGAAGTTCCTCAACAGTGATACAAACCTACTGCGTACTCAGCATGTACTTGAGGAGTAAGGGGAAGCAATGGTAATGTAAGCATCATTCTGCCTTCTGTGTCGTGAGTAATAGGTTATCTCTGGACCACAAACCTCATGTATTCTGCCAAAATACATGAAACTGTGGGAGGCTAACTTAGTTTGCAGGTAAGGGAAAATCTCAATCTCTACTCTTGTTGACAACTGGTGATTTGTATTCACATTAAAGTTTGATAAGGCCTCAGCCTACTTCATTTCAAATGAGCAAATAAATAAGCATGAGAGAGACATACTTAAATGCAAACCTATATAGGCACTGTTTTCAAAAAGAGCTCCACATGTTCGGAATTGCTGACATAAGAATGAGGTAGCCATACAGTTGGATAGTCAGTTCTGCCAAAAGAAAAATCAGTTCCAAAATAAAACTATTTTTGGGGGGGGAAAAAAAAAAAGAAAATCTACTACTTCAACTTGTCCACCACAAGCATAAATTCACAACTTAAAAAAATATATAATTTCTTGGATTTGGGGTACTAGGTACATGGTCTGAAGTCAGAATAGTGCCTTAAGAACCATTCATGTACAATACCCACTCCCCATTCACTGGAAGAAACATGATAGCCATGTACACTAACCTGTGTACAACTTTTCATTAAGGAAAGCTTTTGTATTGAAGAAAAGATGCAAAAGAAAAACACATTTATTTTCAAAGCAAATTATTTAATTTTGTGACAAAACACTATTGCCATGTTGTGGCTTGTCTGAAAGAATTCAGATGTCAAAATGCGATGTGATATTGTACCCCAAGAACAATCATTTGATTAAGATGTTTTTATAAGTCTTATTCTCTTATTCTACCACCATGTTTCCGCTTTATAATTACAAGTCCATTTGGTGTTTCATATCTGGCCTCTTAATTACAACAACTCTCATAAAAAATAGTTCTTAACTTGTTTCATTTTCTAGTTTATATGCTATAAATAGCACTGATATTGAGTATGACACAGAATTCAATATAAAATATTTGCCTTGAATTAAAAATATTACCTATTTTACACTTGTATGGTGGTTCTCAATTTTGGCTGCATGTTTAAAATACTTGGGAAGTTTTTAAAAAGCCTGATGATGCCCAGACCACACCCAAATCAATTACCTCAGAATTTCATGCGGTCCAAGCATCAGAACATTTTTTACTTTTCTCATTGATTCCAACATGCAGCTCAGTGAAAACCACTACAGTTGGATGTAATCTTCAGGAAGCTAGGTTTTTTTTTGTTTTTTTTTTTTAATGATAAGATCCAAATTTCTATAACAGTGCTTAGCAGTCAATAAATATTTGTGGATATATATACTGTAATTTAAAGATGTATTTGTTACTTTACAATCTTTTTGAGCCATTTATTTCCAACATTAGGTGGTCATATTTTGGGGGAATAAACAAATAGAGATAGAAAATACCTGGGACCATTTCACTAGTACAAACAAAAGGATTTTATGAAGCTTTGAACTTGGTCAAAATGTGTGTCAATTTGTAGACAAAAATCTGCTATGAAATTAAGTAGAAAAGCATAGGACACACTTCTATTTAAATCAATTAAATCAATTCAATGACTTCAAGGAAAATAAATGATCCCTATGCAACTACGTGAATAAAGTCTGATAACCACTCATTGTAAGTATATGCAACAACTGAATAGACTTTGTAATGTCCTCTGTCCCTGCCTCATTTTTGTCTCGCATTATTTTGATTTTCTTCTCACTTCTGTTGGTTTGCTGTTTTTTATGTGCTTCTATGGTATTTTAAATTTATTTTGGAATAAATGATGAATGAATAGAACTGACAACTGATATATGAAAAAATTATTTAAATTTGAAGGAAGAATTTAAGAAACAGATTATTAACCTTTGGTTTATAATACATTTAGTGCAACCCTTAATGCTACTATTTTTTCCAAATTTCATCTTTCCTAATTTCAAACGAATGTGTTCTTTATCCTGCATCCTTTGGAGTGCTTTTCTCCCAGATTCTTAGGCCAGAGCAAAGACATTTTAGAAAGAGGAACCAATCAACATAAGACAGGCTAGGAGACCAGACCTCCCCTTAGGGATGCTATAGACGGGATGTCCACATGGCTGGAAAGTTGGAATATTCACTTCTGATGTCCCTTTTAAGTAATAGACGTGGTGATTCTCCTGGTAACTTTTTATTTCCCTAGGTTATATATGGATATAATTCCTAGAAAAAGAAAGAATTGTCTAAAGGTCTGTGTGCCACGTGACTGAAGTAAACCAGGTACATCTATCAGTGGGTAGATGATGCTTCAGCTACCTCAAAAAGTGATTGGGATGTAGGAGCTAAAAAAAATTGGATCTCATGGAGGTTGAGACTGGAATGGTGGTTACCAGAAGCTGGGAAGTGATGGGCAGGAAGAAGAGAAGTTGGCTAATGGTTACAGAAACATTGTAGGATAGAAGGAACAAGTTCTAGTATCTAATAGTACGGTAGAAAAATTTAACAAAAACTTACTCTATGTCCAAAATAGCTAGAACAGGAGAATTGTGATATCCCCAACACAAAGAAAAGGTAAATGTTTGAAGTGATGGATATTGCAATTACCCTGATTTGATCATTACACATTGCATACATGTATCAAAATATCACAAGTATGCCAAAAATATGTACAACTAGGATTCATCTATAAGCATAAAACTAAACAAAAACTGTGATTGGGAATGAAAAATGCTTATTCAAGAAAAGAGGCTGAAACTTAACACTATTAAAATTCGTATGTACAGTCTGAAATAATGTATTTTAATGTTCAAGGTCGGCAGTGAGAGTTGTTTTAATAGAAATACAAACCAGGTGCATTTCAATTCTAAGAAATGAGGCCACGTGCCACTACACTTACCGGTTCCCTTATCTGGGCCAAATAATCCCCACCTGCTGAGCTAATGCTAAATTAGATCTCAAGATAGTTTCTGTTGTTGTTCTGAAGAACCCAGACCAGGAGGTCAGGGTGCTGTGTAACAACAGTGGCTGTGGCCTCATGTTAGCTTTGAGCCTGAGTTCTGTGGCTAAGTTCTTCCCTCAAAAATAAGACCATGTAACTCCTCCTAGCACTTTGTCTTATTCCTGCCGTTCTTCTATACCTAGAATACCATCCATGGGCAAAAGCCTTCCTTCCCAAGCTCAACCCGATTGGCCTCCTGCTTGCCAGTTTCACCTCATAATGTTTACATATGTATCATTTGTAATATTACAATGTAAGAATTTGTAACAAATTTATGAATTTTAAATCCAAGTATTCAAAAATATTTAAATTGCAACTTCCTTTATCTTTTTCTGTTCTACTCCATTGGAAAATATTAATATCTTAGTAAGTTTTAGGTGAATTCAGTTATTAAATATTTACACTTGATCAATTCAGTTTTTTTCCTCCTTGCTTTTTACTAGGATGATATTTAGATTCCACAGGCTTATACAATGATTGAATTGGGGAGAATATGGGGAGAGAGGTGAATTGTTCTTTTATACCATTTAAAGGGTTATTGATAGGCTTGAGATAAAGTATGTAAAACACTAGCATCATTTCTAATGCATGATAGATGCTCTAGAAAGATAAACATCATTTTCTTAACTCTAGATGTTAATTCTTATTTAGACTGAAATAAAAAAATTTGAAAAAATTTTCATCCCATATTCCTGATTCCACACATAAACGGGTAGCTTCACCATCACTTTCCACCTTTCTAGATGTACTCAAAATAAATCCTTCCACATTCCTCCTTCCTCCTGCGAGAAGGGACTTCCCTGACAAGGAAGACTGGATGGAGCCTCACTTCCATTAGTGCACAATTTTGGGCTAGACAGGGTGATTGAGTTAGAGGAGACTGCTGGGAGGAGGCTGATCCCTTGGGTTTCTGTCCCCTAACCTACTGCTTACCTCAGGAATCACCGTCAGGACTTTTATCTGTTCCCAACTCCTGCCTATGATGAAGTAGGTTCCCCAAGCTGGAGAAGATAAAATCATCTTTCTGAGGAGATAACATCAATTCCAGGTGGAATATGGTTCAATCTACTTTACTCAGTCCATCTAACTATTAATAATTGATACATTTAGATCCTAGGTTCTAATTGGGCTCCTTGCTCTATTCAGGAATTATGATTTATTTTCACCCTAAATACTGTACATCATTATGAGTTTTTTATTGTTATTATAAATTTCACATGCTCATGATAATCCAACAAGTGGATTACCTACTAAAAAAATTGAAGGAAAAGCAGAAAGAGAAAAGAATATAATTGAGAAGCACTAAAAGCACTTAGCAGAGAAAACATATTTTTCCTGCTAAAAATGCTGAGGGATGCCTCCTGCAAGATGAAGTACATTTTCCAATTCTCTGAAGTGTCAAAGTTCTAAGATAAGTCAGGCTGTTCCTGTCCAAAATTCCTGTAAGGGGAATTTATAGCCTGACTTGTTTACCCTGAGAACAGATATCAGATAAACCCTTAGGAACAGAGACAAAAGAGAAGAAAGAAAATGATGGTTAGAGAAACAGATGCCAGAGGTTCACAGAAAGGGATGGAGCTGTTAAGGGATGGAGCTGTTTGTGGGTGATAGTCACAAAGTTTCCAGAGGGTCAGGGATGGGTCTGGGGCACACAGCAAAGAGTCACACGCTCCAGAGACCAGAAAGGGAGTAATGTAGGCAACTCCACTTGGGATTAAAGTAAATAAGTTAGAGAGACTAAATGCTACTCAGGAAAGACAGCAGCAAGAGTACAGGGTATTGGGAAAGAGGGCTCTACTGGCAATCCAGAGACCTGAAACTTAGACTCAGCTTTGATTCACAAAATCTATCTGTATGTAAATCTCTCTTCATCTTTAAAATATAAGCAGATAGACTCTATTTTTTAGAGATTTTTTTAAAAGAATTTTAATCTTTTTTGTAGAGTCAAGGTCTCCTTCTGTTGCCCAGGCTGGAGTGCATTGGCACAGTCATAACTCACTGCAGCCTTGAACTCCTAGGCTCAAGAGATTCTTCCACCTCAGCCTCCCAGAGAGCTGGGACTACAGACATACACCACCACTCCTGGCTAACTTTCAGAAAAACTTTTTAGAGACAATATCTTGCTATGTTTCTCAGGCATTTTTTTTCAGGGTTTTCTCCAGCTCTGGCATTCTACAATGCTGTGAACAGTTGGTAGTTTTATGTCTAAGTTTCTTCCTTTGGTACCTGAAAGTATGCCAACGTGGCTTCCAAAGGTCTCTCCTCTTTTGACAACAAAGGGGTGTGAACTCAGATCATCTCTGTGAGTTAGAATGTAGTAAAAATAGGAGAAAGGTCCAATAGATCCCCCAAACCAAAAAAGAAAAAAAAAAAGAGGTATGAGATGGAACCTGAATGTATTGTTTTATAAAATAATACACACAACTTTCTTTAAAATGAAATATTTTCTATAGAAAGATAATCTAAACCTCCATCAAGAGGACAGCAAAATAAAGGGGCAGGGCCTGCAGGATGGAGGTGCCATAATCATTAATTATCACAACAGTACTATTGAAAGTTAATATGAGCTCCTGAAGCAACTATGAATAATGGAAAACATTTCAGGGGTTAGAGCCAGCCAGGTTGGTTCTAAAGGTGAATTTTTAACTCCCTCAGAAGTTTCAGCATCTACAAAAACTTTCAGAAGATCATACTAAAAACATAGCAGAAATCTTTCACTGTAACTCAAGTTTCTCCTTGAATAGCTAAGGGATGCAGCATATTTTCCCTTTTTCTAAGGTGACAAGACTCTTCAATGAAAATATCAAGAGGTGCCTATTCAGAAATTTTTCCAGGAATATTTACAGACTTGGCAGTTTGCCCCTAAAAATAAAAAAAAAAAATAAATAAACAAATAATTTAAAAAGAAAAACCTTCTTCAGAGTTTCTCTGAAACAGGAAAGGAAACTTTTTATTTAATTTGGCATGTCCTTGCTTCCTGCAAATGCATGGTTTATGATTAGAACAAAAAGAGTTTCTAAGTTGAAAGCTCTCAGTTTTAGTAGGCTGAAACTTTTGCTCTTGACTGTGAGAACCAAGACAGGACACCTGCACATTATCTCCATGCTATTCATTGTATAGCCTCAAATGAAACTGTTTTGAAATGGAAATTCTTGTTTGGTATCTTTCTCTGGCACATATTATTTAAATTTTCCAAAAAAGTAAAAAGGGGGAGTTATTAAAATTAAAAAGTGTTGCATATCTACTTCCTTTCTGGGCATAGAATTCCAAGCTTCTATAGCTGAAAATCTTCAATCGTTATTAAGATTCTTGCTTATGCATGAATTGATCAGTAACTGAGTTACAAGGATAGAAAAATATCTTTGGCATGGATGAGCTATTCCACCGAGTTGTAGAGACGCATGTGTCATCCCTACTGATGGTCAGGCAAGACCCACAGGGCTATTTAAATTTTCCTTTGAAAGTACTCCATGCTCAGAAATCCCTTTCCTAAAATTTATATTAAAACAGAGTTATACTTACTTTATTGAGGATAGAATTTCTTATGATTATTATTTCTGAGCCCACGGCCAACTTTGACAAACACGTTCATTTACCAGAGATAATAATGTGTGATTTTCTCTTTTAATGAAAGATAAATAATTTGGCAGTCTTGGCTTCATGAATTTTTCTATTTCAATACACTTCATTGTATAGTGTGGTGTCCTTTATTCTTGAATGAGTTAATGTGCAGAATGAAAGTGCTTTCTTTAGATCAGTTGTGCTATTTTCTGTAAGGCACTGCTATTCATACCACAGGTTTACAAAAGACCATTAAAGGCTGATATTACGATATTACGTTAAGTTCTGCTCATAATGATGTAGTTCTTTGTTTATAACTTACATAATTCGCTGTAGTGTCAAAGCTTCATCAAATTGGAACAAAAGAAATAGGAAGTACATTTCTGGGACTCTAAATAGAATAAACAAGCTTTGACCAACTCTATTTTTTATTGTGTTTCTTTGAATTAATGCAGAAGCTGTTTCCAAGTCTCAATATAAGAAGAGCAGTGATTTGTTTTATTATCTAAGATGGTATATATATGTGTGTGTGCTTAATATTTTAAAGGTAAAGCCCATATAGGAGAATTGCAGGAGTATATGACTCCAACCTATTGGATATTTCCTATCACAAACTCCTGATTAAGTTTGAATTCATACTGGATTCTCTATAATATAAAATATTTGCATTTAGTCTCAAGAGAGAGAAATTGAACTACAAGGCAGAAATACAGTAAATCATCCAATCCACTTCTTTCTTCATATTATACTGTCTAAAATAACTTGCTTTGATGATAGAAATATTCTGTATCTGCCCCGTTCAGTATGGTAGTCACCAGCCACATGTGAGAATTAAGCACTTGACATATAGCTAGTGCTACAGAACAACTGCATTTTAAATATTATTTAGTTTTTATTTTATTAAATTTAAGTAGCTATCTATGGCTAATGGCTATTGTATCAGACAGCATAGATTTACAATAATAAAAGTGATAGAAGGAGGTCTGCCGATCCGCTCCACTCCAAGGACCACCAGCCACCTCTCCTGTCTCACTCTAGGTACATTGCTCCTGAAGTTGTACATGCACACAGTCTATAGCCTTACATGATGATCTGCAGAGGGTTCTATAATTGGATGGAAAGGGATGGATACCTCACTTTCCTCCTCCATCAGGAAATTAGGACTAAACTCATTAGGCTCACAGCCAACACCCTGGAAATCTTTAAATCTCCTCCATCCCACTCCACTGTGAAGCTCAAGTTACATCTGGAACTCTTCAATGTTACGATATCACTTCCTTCTACCACCTCCTCCTTTAAGTATGTACATTTAAATCACACTTTGACTACAGTTTGGTTACTAAGAGAGTAGGGTGGGAGGCAAGAGTGCTTTCACAACAATCTGCTCTACATCAAAGGTAGACACATTTTAAAAATGCAAACCATACTCATGTTCAACTTCATAATCTGATCTTGGCTTGTATGCTTAACAGGAATGTCAGAATGCCTATTCTGACATTATAAAAAAAATCCCAAATACATGATAGAATAATTTCTCCTTAATTCCATTCTCCCCCTGATCTTCTCCATCTCAGTATGTGCTATCACCATTTACCCAGTTGCACAGGCCCAAAACAAAATTAGTTTTTCTGTCCATGATCTCTCCAACTACCGTCTATATCTAATCCATCAGTAAGTCTTGTTGGCTCTGCCTTCAAAACGTATCCAGAATCTGATCCTCCTCCACAAACTACTACTCTATCTTACCAAATCTATTGCAAAAGACTTGTCACTCTCTGCATCTATCATTATATCCTCCCTTGTTCTCTATAATCTTTTAGCCATACTTCACAGTGGGAAGGCACTAATAAATATGCCATGTGAGGTCTTTAAATCTAAACCCTAACTACCTTTCTGAACTCATCTCAACTCATGTCCTAGCCTGGTGCCTCTTTCATAGTCTTCTTGTTGCTCCTCAAACACGCTAAGCTCATACCCCCCTTAAGACTTTCGCTTACTCATCACAGTCTGGAATGCTCTTCCCTACATCTTCTCATAACTCACTCCCTCACTTTGGTTTCCCCTAATCACTGTCACATCTCATCCTCTATATTCTTACTTTACTTAATCTTCTTCATGGCACATATCGTTACACAAAATTATATTATTTCATTATTTGACTTTGGGTATTTTAAATCTTGTGTTTTCCCAGAAGAATGTTCCCATGAAATCAAAAATCTTGTGTATCTTATCTACAGGTCTCATTTCAAGAACTAGAAGAGTACCCGGAACAGGTGCTCAAAATACTTATTGAATAGGTTAATAAAATTTGCTTATGCCACTCATCCAAACACATGCACCCAGAGAATCACAGCTACATGCCACAGTTAGATACCCCATAGACACACTCAGAAAGATATCTGTACCACAAACAATACATAGTCACACTTCTTAAAACTTTCAGAGGTTTCTCATAGTTTTAATGATAAAGACAAAAACTTCTAACATGGGTGACAATATTTAGCATGATATGGTTTCCACATACTTCCCCAACATCATCTCAAACCATACTCTATCCTTCTTAGTCTTTTCACTCTAGCCACACAAACCTTCTTGCTATTCTTTGTACTCAACAGATTTTTTCATACTAAAATAACTTTTATATAGTCACTACTTGGAAGGCTTCTCTCTTTCTTCTTGCATAACTTAATTTCTACTGATCATTAATATATTAGAACAAGTGTTCTTTCCCCATGGGAAGATTGGCTGATCTCTCTAAACAGCTCAAATCTTCTAGTTATGCATGAGACTCCCATAAATGAATAAATAGATGAATGAATATTGACGAAGTTGCTAATGATACTAGGCCTCTAGATACATCTGAGTATTGAAACTTTATCTTTACTTGCTGCTGTAGTATTTCAAATTAATTAAAACTCTTGTGTAGCTGCACATCAGTCACATTCCCCCAACTGCAAGAGATGTAGTCAGGGAGATGAAATGGACCAGCAGGCTTCGCATGCTTTCCATCACCATAATGGTGACAGAGATAAAGTTGACATTGCAGAAGTTACCAGAGCTTTTATTTACCTACGGATATTTACTGTGTTCCCCCAGGACAGCCAGTAACATCATTTACTTCAGATAAGGTATGTTTGACAATGCAGTGAACATTAAAAGGAAAAGTGCCTGGGTAAAATGAAAACAACACTGTGTCCTGGAAAGGGGAAGAGATGGATGGGCTATACATAAATGTGAGTTTATTAAACATCAGGAATGACAATCACAATAAGACTTGGCATGGAGTATACTGTCATTTTCATGAGTGTATCTTCTAAATATCATTTATGAAAAGAATTCAAGTGACAAGGTTATTAGAAAAAATAAAAGGCATATACTGTAACATGAGAGCTTAGATTTCTTGGAGTACTAATTAGTCAAACAGATGCATATATTCATTGATTCAAAAAGGAGAGAGTTATGCCTCCATAATTTCAGACACAAACCTTCAGATCACTGAGCAACTTGCAGGTCATTAAGCAAAATTCTCCAGGTACCTATACTGGTTCTTCCATGTCTAAGTGGGAAGCAGAGCTCTTGGGGCATAGGGAACAACAATCACAATATCCAAGGTTGTCATGGGATTAGTCTGCACTCAGACTCTGCTATTCTGCACATGATCATGTGTGTCTAAAAGAGAAAATCCAAATGTCCTCAAAGTAAAAGAGAGCCAATAGCCAGAATGTCTGTCACACAGCAAATAAGGCCAAGTGCTTCATTAGACTGTAATTCAGTTTATGTCCTTTCTGTCATCCTTAATTAACTGTGATTGAATCTACCTACCTCACACCAATAAAGGATTCATTTCTACTTCTGTCATCAGCTTTACTTGTGAATTTTTCTGTAGAGACAGCCCTACTGTCACCCAGCCAAATGGCCACCTGTCCACTCAGCTGAGACTCTCACTCAAACACGGTTGTGCCCTCACTCAGGAGCACATCAGCACTTGGTAGCTCATCAGAAAACTGACACTGACATTACCTGAGCACTTTCTAAGTCAGCTACTTTTAAAGGGGCAACTCAAAAGATCTCAAACGGAGCCAAACAATAACACTTTTAAAGCTTCCTAGCATAAAAACAATATATGCTACTTTTCATTTGTCATAAGACATGTAAGAAGATAACATAGATTAAATTTTCTTAATCATCAGAAAGCCTATATTGAATCATAAAATTCCAATTCCAACCTTTGTTTTGCAGGTTCCAGCTTGGATCTTTCTATATGGTCATTTCAAAGAATGTACTTTTCATTTTCAAAACGATTACAACCAACCCTTGAACAATGAAGGGGTTGGGGTTTCCAGCCCCTGCCATAAAAAATCCTCATGTAACTTTTAACACCCCCAAAATGTAATTACTATTAGTCTGCTGTGGACTGGAAACCTCACCAATAACAAACAGTTGATGAACACATTTTCTATGTCATATGTATTATATACTGTATTCCTACAATAAAGAACATGTTAGAAAATCATAAGGAAGAAAAATAAATGTACAGAACTACACTTTATTCATTGATGCTGTAAGTTTATGTCATCTGTTTACAAGATAAATAATCTGTTTGAAATGGTGGCCACTGCAGCTGCAAACCTCAATCTATGATACATATCAAGTAATTGAACTTTTTATTGTAATGTCACGACTTTTCTCTGCTTCTTGGGAGCACTCCCAGAAACACTAGTGACACTTTATGTGGGTCCCATGGTGTTATTTAAAGTATTACAGTAAACACAATGAAAAATATGCAAGAACTTGGAGAGATCAATTTTACTGAGACACACAATTAACTGGAGAGAAGAACTGCACAAAAAGAGATAATTATTGTCACATGGCATGTAAGCAGATCCTTGCAATACTTGAGATCACCACAATAGCAACAGGAGATAGCTATGAAATTATTACAGTAGTATGGTGTGTACTGCAGTAAATTGCACTCAGTCATGATTTAATACCGCATCTTTATATTTCTTTACATTTCTCTCAACTGCAAATAGCACCATGTCTGTAGGTGTTTGTATAAGTTTTGATAAATTTTAAATTTTCATAATAGACTTGTGTATTTTTATGATAGTAAATGCTAAAATAAACTAGTATCTACATCTATTTTATGAATTGACAGCACAACTAAGTTTTCCTTTGTTTTTTTTTTTTTTTTTTTGAATCTCTAGGCTACAGGATTCATCTGTGAGTTTTTTTCAAATTTTCACAAATTTCCAAATAATTTTTCAATATGTTTATTGCAAAATATCAAGGTAAAAGTGTACAAACACAGTACAAACTCATGTTATTCAAGGATCAACGGTAATGTCAGTTCTAACACAAAAAGTTGTATTTATGTAATAAATATTTATTATACAGACACCTCTTTAAGTACATGGGTTTAACAGTGAAGGAGATAATCTCTGTTTGCAATTTAATAGTTTAACATTTAACTACAGAGATGTGAATATGTTGTCATATTGCAAAGTAATAAATGCTCTCATAGGAGTGAAAGCAGGGCTTAGGGAGGTAAGTGACAATCACTGGACTTTGCCTTAGACAATCATGAAAACCTTTCTTGAAGTTTCAGCTGAGATCTGAACTAAACCCTTGAGTTTGGCAGCACGGAGAGTAGCTTTGGAGGGAACAGGCAGGAAAAGATCTAGACAGAACAATGTGTTATCTTGTAGTAGGAATATAAAAATTAAACAATGTCCTGATATTCTGGGAATTACCAGGATAAAAACTAGATTAAAGAGACTCAAAACTGTCATTTTCACATGGGAACAGAGATAAACATATACGTGACGTTCTCCCATGGGTATAACCGTCATGTAGGTGAGGTTTGTAGTGAGTTGAGGTCAAGTTTCATTTCTTAGATTATATTTAAACTGCCACCTGAAGCAACAACAACAGAGGTCAACAGAGAATATTAGTCAGGTGTGGTAGTGCACACCTGTAGTCTTAGCTATTTGAGAGGCTGAGGTGGGAGGATTGCTTGAGCCCAGAAATTTGAGGTTAAAGTGAACTATGATCACACCACTGCACTACAGACTGGATGATGCAGTGAGACCCTGTCTCTCTCTTTTTTTTTTTTTTTTTTTTTTTTTTTTTGAGATGGAGTCTTACTCTGTCGCCAGGCTAGAGTGCAGTGGCATGATCTTGGCTCAGTGCAACCTCCCCCTCCCAGATTCAAGCAATTCCCCTGCCTTAGTCTCCTGAGAGTAGCTGGGACTACAGACATGTGCCACCATGCCCAGCTAATTTTTTGTATTTGAATAGAGACAGGTTTTCACCATGTTGGGCAGTATGATCTCCATCTCCTGACCTGGTGATCTGCCTGCCTCAGCCTCCCAAAGGGCTGGGATTACAGGCGTGAGCCACTACACCCGACAATCTCTGTCTCTTAAAAAAAAATTGGAGCTCAACTCTTCAACAAGGACATAAAAACATAAAATCTTTATAACAGACAGGGAAATAACTTTCCTGCAGACTCAAAAATTTGGCAAGTGAAATAGGGCTTACATTAAAAATAATGGAGGCCAATGAACACAAACGTCAATTTATTATATTCTTTCTTCTTTATCACATGTAAATACTTATTTCTTAAATCAACATCTATTTCCTGCAAGATACTTGGCTAGGCAAAAGATTTTTAATGAGCAAAATGACATCAATTTTCCAAAGAAACAGATGAAGAAAACAATATTTTCCATGACACGTCACAACTTCTGCAACAAAAGAGGACACAGGAGATAGATGAGAACAAGGACTCAAGTGGCCCACTTGAGACAGAGAGGAGTTTTGAAGCTACTGAGAAGAGTTTTACACTAACTTTCTTAAATAATGCTTAGGAATTGCCAGTGGGTCAGCTGGGCTGTGAACTTCAGGCCAGGGAAGGTCACAGGCAAACACATACAGTAGGGGCTCCAACCCCTGGGCCACAGACGGGTATCAGTCTGAGGCCTGTTGAGAACTGGGCTTCACATCAGGAGGTGAGCGGCTAGCAAGTGGACAAAGCTTCATCTATATTTACAGCCACTCTCCATCACTGGCATTACCTCCTGAGCTCTAACTCCTGTCAGATCAGCAGCAGCACTGGATTCTATTAAGAGCAAATACAAACCCTATTTGAAGTGCACATGTGAGGGAGCTAGGTTGCGAGCTCCTTATGAGAATCTAGTGCCTGATGATCTGTCACTATCTCCCATCACCCCCGGATGTGACCATCTGATTGCAGGAAAACAAGTTCAGGGCTCCCACTGATTCTACTTCACGGTGAATTGCATAATTATTTCACTATATATTACAATGTAATAGAAATAAAGTGCTCAACAAATGTAATGCACTTGAATCATCCTGAAACAATTTCCCCCCACCCCAGTCTATGGAAAAATTGTCTTCTACAAACCCAGTCACTGGTGCCAAAAAGGTTGGGGACCACTGACACAGAGGCATGAGAAGGCAGATTGTCCAGGATCACTCAAGTGTAGTGGAAGAATTTAAACAGAGTAATCCAGAGGGCAAATAGAAGTTCAGGTTCAGGCCCCTAATGGTCCACCGCAGAATACAGTGACAGCTTACTAAGGCAGTGACAACTGGGACGGAAAGGAGAGAATACATGAGATGTTTAGAAGGTAGAATTAACACAAATTGTTGAAATTGAGCAATGGTGAAAATAAACCCTCACCCGTAATTCAGGACTCGCTCATATTAACTATGAATACATTCATGAAGAAAATTGAATAATGTATTTGAAATAACTGTGCCATCAGGACATATGGCTACTGTAAACCAAAAATTACCTCTGACTTAAATGGCCACTAATTATGTGGCACAACTTCTTTTTCAAGAACTGAGAAGGGATGAAAACACACACGCACACACACACACACACACACAAGCAAATTACAATGAAAAGAGGTACATGTTGGGGTGGAAGGAACAGTAAAATCCTTTGAACCATTCAAATACCTACATGATTTTATAAACCACCTTCCCGTATACTATTTGGTGAATTATCATTAAAAATCTCAAGCAAATCAGGCAGGAACATCATGAAAAAGTCAAATGATTGCAGGTAAAGAAAATTGTTTTAAATAAATGTAGCTTCACTAAACAAAATCTGCTTAATAATTTTGGCTGAAAGCTGCAGATAATATGTAGCAATAGGAGCAGGGAACTTAACATCTCTGCCAAGCAAAAAGAAACAATTCAGCAAGCAACAGTGAACTGATATGCACTAAATAAACAACCAGGCAGAAACACCGCTGTGAGAAAGAGCTTTTTATATAGCTAAGCCAAGCTGGATGGCTTAGAGTTGGAGAAAGAAGTGCTAAATATGTAACAGCCTGGGGCCTCGCTGGACCCAAATAATAGTTATTTCTGAGTAGGTCAAGCAAAAGTCAATAAAAAGGAAAGCAGGAATGGCTGTTGGGTTCATAATAGGACAATAATGCCCTTCTGGGAAAAATGTGAGTTTCAAATAGCCAGAATCGAATACTTAAGTTTCAAATGCTTTATCATAGACCACCAGTTCTGGAAATATCAGTAGAATAGCTAGAAAATAGGTAAATTCTGCCAACCAGAATAATCCCTAATACAGATTCCCTAAGCCAGTGTTTTTAACATGAGTAGAAGAATCACCTGCAATGGAATTACAAGGAAGCTTATTTAGTGGAAATTCCTGGATACCAGCTCAGACTTACCACATCAGAATTTCTAAGGAAGAGGCCTGGTAATTTAATTTTTAATTAAATTTTCAAAAGATTCTTCTGTCTTCTAACACCAGAGAACTTTTATTTTTGCGTATTTTGCATTTTGCTTTGCTTTCAAATGCCATCGTTCACAGATTAGATTCGTCAGAGAGAGAAAGGGAGATAGAAAGGGAGGGAGGGAGATCCGATAGATATATAGCCAATTTCTGGCCCAATTTTTCTTTTGCAGCAAGCAAAGGCTAAAGTAACACTCTGTAACACTTTATAACACTTTATAACACTCTATAAAGCACTAATTAGAAAACAGGTTATTCTGAGATAAAAGAACGTACAGCGAACAATTACTTTATAATCAAGTGTCAGATTGTATGGAGCAGAACATGCCCACTGTATTAGTCTGTTCTCACACTGCTACAAAGATACTACCTGAGACTGGGCAATTTATAAAGAAAAGAGGTGTATTTGTCCGTTTTCACGCTGCTGATAAAGACATAACCCAGACTAGGCACTTTACAAAGGAAAGAAGTTTAATGGAGAACTCACAGTTCCACGTGGCTTAGGAAGCTTCACAATCATGGCAGAAGGCAAAGAGGAGCAAGTCACATCTTACGTGGACAGCGGCCAGAAAGAAAAAAAGAGCTTGTGCAGGCAAACTCCTGTTTATAAAGCCATCAGATTTTGTGAGCTTAGGAACAGCATAGGAAAGACCCTCCCACCGCGTCCCTCCCACAACACGTGGGAATTCAAGATGAGATTTCGGTGGGGACACAGCCAAACCACATCAAGAGGTTTAATTGACTCACAGTTCCGCATGGCTGGGAGGCTTCAGGAAACTTCCAATCATGGCAGAAGGCTAAGGGGAAGCAAGTCACATCTTAAATAGTGGCAGGAGAGAGACAGAGTGAAGAAGGAAGAGCCACTTTTAAAACCATCAGTTCTCCTGAGAACTCACTATCAAGAGAACAGCATAGGGGAACCACCCCCAGGATCCAATCACCTCCCATCAGGTTCCTTCCTTGATACATGGGGATTACAGTTCAAGATGAAAGCCTAACCATATCACCCACAAAGGTGAATCAGAAGCTGGACTTCTCTGTGATTTCTTCCATTCTTCAGTATTCCTGAATCCCTTCCAGTAAAGTTTCTATACAACAATCTATCAGTAAGGCATTATCATTTAACAAACCTTTTAAAAATTATACAGGAAAACATTTGTTGAAGAATTTGGGATAGTATCATCTATAAAAATTTACTTAAGATGATTTTTTTTCCTTTGCTGGTAGGAGAGAAAGCAAGATAATAAATGCACTTAGTAGAATATCATAGTAAACAAATTGTTTAAAGATATATACTTTACTCTCCCGTAAGACTATGCATCTCTTGTACAGACATCCTGGTGAGAAAGTGGAACCCTAAATGGAACACTGAGCTTCAGGCATTTTTATTGGACCTCCGAGGAAAGGTACAGGCAAGTGGGGTCAGGTGTCTGGGATGATTGCAGTTGTCAGTTAAACTCTTGATATAGTTTGGCTGTGTCCCCACCGAAATCTCATCTTGAATTCCCACATGTTGTGGGAGGGACCCGGTGGGAGGTAACTGAATCATGGCGGCAGGTCTTTCTTGTGCTGTTCTCATGATAGTAAGTCTCACAAGATCTGATGGTTTTAAAAACAGAATTTATAAACTTGTGAATATATGGGTATGATGCAAACCCTAAAATCATAAATTCATCTAATAATTGTGATATCTATCTCTATAAGGCATGTATTGAGGGTGAAATTGAACCTGAAGATTTGTTAAATGAAACTATGAAATAAGTTTGTAAAGACATATGCATACTTCACCAACCTGCTCAAATTTAGATCGGCAAACCCTTTCCTCTTGATGGGAATGAATGAATGAAATCTGAATTATGGTCTGCTATTTCTTCTACCAAAAGCCATAAGCTTGAGCCAATAGGTGTGTAATAATTTTCAATGCTATTATTAACAGTGTTTATTTAGTTAATGCTCCTGATGAAATAACAATTTTTGATCTAGATTCTTTAGAGAGTGTTATTTAGAAATTAAGTTTCAAAATTCAAAAATTATTTTAAAAAAGAGTAAACTAGCAGACTCATCTCTTAAATATTAGAGTCACTTCTACATCCCAAACTCTAACCACCCAGCCAAATTTATTACTAATGGGTAGGTACAGAGGGTGTTTAAGAAAAAGATATAGATTACAGCTTTGCTTTATTCTATTTGAAAATTACTCAGCTTTGTGCCCAGCTGAACTCACTAAATTTCAGCTGTACCCAACATAGAATGTGAGGTGGATTCAGTTCTGTCCCACAGCTGACCAGCAACTACAGAAAGATTGAAGCCACTGACCTCAGGGTATGACTATAACCTCGGGGACAATAAGTAAGCAGGTAGTCCCCAGGTTGGGGCCAGACTTAAATGCTCCCATCAGAACTTCCTTGAAGAGCATAAATGTCCTATTAGTATATTTTATTTCTTTGAGATTTGTTATAGTGAAACTTTAGTAGCAAAAACATTCAAAAATATTTATGACTTAGAAAATACTTTGACTCACATTTTCCTCACCAATTTGGTTGTAATTTGGATAAAATATGAAACAGTCCCTTTTTACTTCTAAAGAAAAAAGAATGGAGAATTTTCCACAAAGAGTTACCAGTGATAACCACCTTTGTGAATTAACTATAAAAAAGAAATACCAACATTATGAGTCCTGGGCAGACTATTCATCCTTCTTTTCCATCACTTTATCTCTCTAAGAAAAAAAACACAGTTACAGGTTAACTAGGAAAATCTATAATTTAAAAAAACCTTTTTTTTTTTTTTTTGTAGAGCTTTGTATCAAAGAGCAATTGCATTCCACCTATGTACCACAGTAATACTGGTCAACATCTGTTTTTTCCACATATCTCCTAAAAAGTTATGTGTAGTCTTCCTAAAAATTGTCTAACAAGCAGTACTGAAATAGTTGTTAAAGTATTATAACAAATAATGCTCCTTTTCTCTTCCAGGTACTCAAAAATCCTGATCCATAGGAAAAATCCACATCCAAATGCAAGGTTTGCTCAAGTTCATTTTCATTATAATGCAGGCACTTTATATCACTTCAGGGCTTCTACCAGGAGAAATATTAGAAATATTAAAATATTTATTTTTGTTCGTCTTCCTTTTTTGGTAACAGACCTCAGTACATTTGCAGAATGTCTTGTAGACCCAGAACATGCTGGGTGAAAACAACTTTTGCATATTTTTGCATGGCTAGTAAGAAGCCATTCTTTAAAAGCATATCACCTGTCAGCATTACTTTCCAGAAAATATTTTCAGTTCTGTGCAGCTGCATTTTACTTCCTCCATCCTTGGTATAAGTGTTCAACCAAGTGCATGCTTTGCACCTTCAAATGTATTTTTCCAGTTGCATCCTTGTTTTTATTTTTACATTCCAGGATGTAGCAATGTCAACTTCGGAGGATTTGGCTGATTCAGTAGTTGTAGTGTTTTTAGCTATTCCTGTCCACATTTTCACGTAGTCTCTAATGGAATTCTGCAGCATTCCAATTCAGCTCTTAAAAAGATCACCCTAATTTGAAGCAGATGTTAGGTTCACACCTGTGCCACAATGGTAGCTGAAACAGAGCTTATATTTTATACACATTTATGGAAACCATTTGGTCATTTGGCTTTATAACTAAGAAGATGTGTAGGATTTTTAAAAGTCGATTATTTTCATATATGGAATATGAAAAGTATTATTCCTCAAGAAATTTAAGACCATCAAATATAGGCTTATATATACATGCTTATTAGCCACGTAAGTTAGCCTATCCATTTAATCATCAAATAGGCATCATCGAGCACTCTTTAGGCACTGCAGGTACAAACTCTTCCATAAATGTTCTTATAGTTTTTCTTCAGTAGTTTTATAACTTTTATAGAAGCAACTTGATTTTTGCTAATAAACACATGAAACCACAGTATATATAAAATTAACAAAAGTGATACTATATTAGTATGAATTTGTTTTATAAATATAAACTTATGAAACTTTATAAAATTAATAACAATGACACAATCACTATTTTTTTGGTTTTGTATTATAAAGTCCCAATTCAGTCTCTATTGTATTTACTATAATTCAGTATCTATCATATATTTTAGTTGCATAATATTTTTTAAATCCAATTCATTCAGTAATTATTTGCAAAGGTTTGTAGTAATTTAACTACTCCTCATGCCAATTCAGTATACCCCTCATGTACACACAGATGGAAAGAAAAGTTTTATTCACATATGCACAGAAATGAGTTAATCTGGTAGAATGTGCTAAAGATTCTGTGGTATTCAATACATTAAAAATATAACACATTTGATCATATACAGTCCTGTGTCACTTAAGTACAGGGATACATTCTGAGGAATGCTTCATTAGGCCATTTCAGTGTTATCTGAACATTATAGAGTGTACTTAGACAAATCTAGATGATACAGCCTACTAGACACCTAGGGTATATGATATTGTCATCTATTGCTCCTTGGGTTATGAACATGTATATTATGTTACTGTACTAAATACTATAGGAAATTGTAACACAATAATAAATATTTGTGTATCTATACATAGAAAAGTAAAAATATTAAAATAGGTTAAAAGTGGTACATCTATAATTCACTTATTATGAATAGAGCTTGCAGGACTAGGAGCTGCTCTGGGTGAGTCAATGAATGAGTAGTGAGTGAATGTGAAGACCTGGGACATTATGTACACTCCTGTGGACTTTAGAAGCACTGCACACTTAGGCTACACCAGATTCATTTAAAAAACTCTTTTTTTCAATAATATATTAACCTTAGCTCCTTATTACTTTTTTTACTTTATAAACTTATTTTTAACTCTTTGACTCTTTTGGAAGAACACTTAAAGTAAGACAAATACATTGTACAGCTGTATAAAATACTTTTTCTTCATATTCTATAAACTTTTTTCTATTTAGCTGTTTTAGTATATGATTTTTGTTTAGTTTCTTACATATCACTTCATGCACATACAACTTTTTTCTTCAGGATCTTGTCCCCATTAAATGCTATCTTCCTTGGTAGCTTCCTTGTTGGTTTTTATTTTTGTTTTCTTTTCTCCGAGCCCAGTGACTTTGCTTGTTTTATTTTTGTTTTCTTTGCTCCGAGCCCAGTGGCTTGAACATATGTTCAAGCTGCTACTTTTCCTTCAGCATCTCTTTATTTTTGTTTTTATTTGTAAGTTTCCTGTGCAGAAAAACTGTGGTAAAAATGTACCTAAGTGCATTTTCTTTCTCTCCAAGATCTTAGTGTTTCTGACCAGAAACTTTTATTAATATATAATATCTTTGTTCTTGCCAACTTTTCTGATTTATAGTCTATTTTGTCTGATTTTGCATAGCCACCTCTGCTCTCTTTTGGTCATTATTTTTATGACCCAGCAATCCCATTACTGGATATATACCCAAAGGATTATAAATAATTCTACTATAAAGACACATGTACACGTATGTTTATTGCAGCACTCTTCACAATAGCAAAGACTTGGAACCAACCCAAATGCCCATCAATGTTAGACTAGTTAAAGAAAATGTGGCACACATACACCATGGAATACTATGCAGTCATTAAAAAGGATGAGTTCATGTCCTTTGCAGGGACATGGATGAACCATCATTCTCAGCAAACTAACACAAGAACAGAAAACCAAACACCACATGTTCTCACCCATAAGTGGGAATTGAGCAGTGAGAACACATGGACACAGAGAGGGGAACATCACACACTGTGGCCTGTCGGGGGATGGGGAGCTAGGGGAGGGATAGCACTAAGAGAAATACCTAATGTAGATGACTGGTTGATGGGTGCATCAAACCACCATGGCACATGTATACTATGTAACAAAACTGCATGTTCTGCACGTGTAACCCAGAAATTAAAATATAATTAATTTTTTTAAGTTTCAATATAGCAAAAAGATATGGAAATTATAAATATTTTCATACCTAATAACAGACTATAAATATATATAAAGCAAAACCTGACAAAGTTGAAGTAAGAAATAAAAAGTTACTCAGTAATAGTTTGAGCCTTCAATATCTCATTCTCTATTATCCATAGAAAAACAAGACAGAATATATGTAAAGAAACAGAGGACTTAACACAATAAACCAACTAGATCTAACAGACATGCACAGAACACTTAACTCAGCAACAACTACATGCATATACTTCTCAAGTGCCGATGAGACATTTTCCAGGCCGACCATGTTAGGCCACAAATTAAGTCTTAATAGATATAAAATATAGATGTTGTACAAAGTATCTTCTCTGTACACAATGAGATGAAGTTGGAAGTCAATAACACAAAGAAAATGGGAAAATGAACACATTTGTGGAACTTAAAAAACAAACTCCAAATCAGCCAGTGGATCAAAGAAAAAATAACAAGCAAAAGTTAGAAAATAATTAGAAATAAATTAAAACAAAAACACAATATGCCAATGCTTATGGGACACAGTGAAAGTAGTGCTAATTGGAAAAATATATAGCTATAAACATGTTTCAAATCAACAAAGATAAGAAATCAACTACCTAACTTAGCAACTTAAGGAACCAGAAAAAAAGAACAACTTAAAGCCAACTCTAGCAGAAGAAAGGAAATAATAGACTATAGCAGAGAAAAATGAAGCCCTGAATAGAAAAACAATAGAGAAATTTAGGGAAACCAAAAGTTGATTATTTGAAATGATCAAAATAATTGACAAAACTTCGAATAGAACAGCTATAAAAAAAAGACAGAAGACTCAAATCACTAAATTCAGGAATTAGAACATTACTAGTGATTCCAGAGAAATTAAAATTAAACATTCAAAATTGTACACTAACGAATTGGCTAATCTAGGTGAAATGGACAAATTGCAAAAAACATTAAGCCTGCCAAGACTAAATTTTGAAGAAATAGAAAACCTAAGTAGATTTATAACTATTGGTAAGGAGATTAAATCAGTACTCAGACATCTCCCAACAAAGAAAATCCCAGGACCTGATTGATGGCTTCACTGGAGGATTCTACCAACATTTAAAGAAGACTCAAAGGATTAACACAAATCTTTCTCAAATTATGCAAAAAATAGAATAGAAGAGAAAATGTTCTAATTCTTCTATGAGGCTAGTATCACCTTGATACTAAAATCAGACAAAAATATCATAAGAAAAAAACTACAGACCAAAATTTCTAATAAACATTGATATAGCAATCTGAAACAAAACACTAGCAAATTAAATTTAGTGACATATTAAAAGCATTATGCATTATGACTAAATGGGGTTTATTTCTGGAAGGGAAAGATGATTCAACATGCAAAAACCAATCCATGCAAGGCACCACATTAACAGAAAGAAAGTACTAAAAAAAGCACACATTATCATCCCAATTGATGCAAAGAGAAGCATTTGACAAAATTTAATACACTTTCATGATAAAACACTCAACAAACTAAGAATAGAGGGAAACCACTCAACATAATAAAAGCCATATATGAAAACCTGCAGTGAATATCATACTCAATTATGAAAAATTAAAAGCTTTAATTTCAAGAACAAGGCAAGGGTTGCTAATTGTGGTACTTCTCTTCAATATAATATTAGAATTTCTAGCCAGATGAATGAGTCAAGCGAAAGAAATGCAACACGTATGAATGGAAAAGGAAGAGGTAATATTATCTCTGCAGATGACACAATCATATATATTGAAAACCTTAACAATTCTACAAAAAATGTGGAAATAATAAATTCAACAAAGCAGGAGGCTATAAAGGTAGCACACAAAAATCAGTTACATTTTCATAGACTAACTGAACAATCTGAAAAGGAAACTAAAAAATATTGCATTTACAATAGCATCAAAAAGAATAAAATACTTAGGAATTAGTCAAGAAGGTTAAAAACTTGTATAATAAAAACTACAAAATATTGCTTAAAGAAATTAAAGAGGACATAAATAATTGGAAAGACATTCTATATTCATGAATTGGAAGGATTAATAGTATTAAGATGTTAATACTACCCAAAGTGAGCTACAAACTCAATGCAATATCTATCAAAATCCCAGTGATGTACTTTTCAGAAATAAAAAAATCCACCCTAACATTTATATAGAATTTCAAGGGACACTGAATGGTCAAAGTAATCTTGAAAAAGGGCAAACCTGAAAGACACACACTCCCTGATTTTGAAAACTTGCTACAAAGCTACAATAATCAAACCATGAAGTACTAGCATGAAGAAGGACATATGACCAGTGGGATAGAATAGAGTGCCCAGAAATAGACCCTCACATATATGGTCAAATGATTTTTGACTAGGGTACCAAAACCATTCAATGGGGAAAGGACTATCTTTTCTACAAATGGTGCAGGGAAAACTGGATATCCACATGTAAAAGAATTAAGTTGGACCCTTTATACAAAAATTAATTCTAAATATACCAAAAACCTAAAGGTAAACTAAAACTCTAACACTCTTGTAAGAAACATAAGGAAAAGCTTCATGACATTGATTTGGCAGTGCTTTCTTGGATATGACACCAAAAGCACAGAAAAAGACAAAAATAGACACACAGGAGTCGATAAAGATTTAAAATTAGAATGCGATGGTGTGCATCTGTAGTCCCAATTACCCAGAAGGCTAAGACAGGAGGATCGCTTGAGTGTAGTTCAAGTCCAGCCTGGGCAAAATAGGGAGATTTCCATCTCTAAAAAAAAAAAATAATAATAAATTTGTGAATCAAGACATTGCCAGCCAAGTGTGATAAATGCAAACCATAGGATAAGAGAAAATATTTTCAAATCACGTAACTTATAAAGGCTTACTATCATCAATATACAGAGAACTAAAACTCAACAACCAAACAATCCCAACAGCAACTTGATTTAAAAATTGGCAAAGGCTCTTCTGCTTCCTTTCTCACTATGTGACACACTCACTCCCCCTTTACCTTCCACCTTGCATAAAAGCTTCCTGAGGCCACACCAGAAGACAAGCAGATGCAGCTGCCATGCTTGCACAGCCTACCGAATCTGAAGGAGTTGGCTGGACTGGTTGTTTCATTGTCATAGATGCCATGTTGGAAAGAATCAAGCATGAAAAAACTGTAGGTAATTATGCCTATGCAACTTTAATGAGAACCCAGAGGAATTACATGGTTCAAGCAGGAGACCAGTGTATCTCTGTCCATGATGCACTGTTAGAGGCAGTTACTTGTGTAAATACCAAAGTTCCAGCTAGAAACTTGTATGCCTATATTAGAAACTGACACAAATAGAGAGGGGACAGAATGTCATAGGAGTGGTGCTCAAATTTAAGCATCTAATCAGCTCAAAAGCTCACATCTCAGGTTTCCTCAGTGCCAATCTTCCATGCAATAATTTCTTTTTATATATATATATTTTATTACACTTTAAGTTCTAGGGTACATGTGTACAACATGCAGGTTTGTTACATATGTATACATGTGCCACGTTGGTGTGCTGCACCCATTAACTTGTCATTTACATTAGGTATATCTCCTAATGCTATCCCTCCCTCCTCCCCCAACCCCACAACAGGCCCCGGTGTGTGATGTTCCTCTTCCTGTGTCCATGTGTTCTTGTTGTTCAATTCCCACCTAAGAGTGAGAACATGTGGTGTTTGGCTTTTTGTCCTTGCAATAGTTTACTGAGAATGATGGTTTCCAGCTTCATCCATGTCCCTACAAAGGACATGAACTCATCCTTTTTTATGGCTGCATAGTATTCCATGGTGTATATGTGCCACATTTTCTTAATCCAGTCTATCGTTGTTGGACATTTGGGTTGGTTCCAAGTCTTTGCTATTGTGAATAGTGCTGCAATAAACATACGTGTGCATGTGTCTCTATGGCAGCATGACTTATAATCCTTTGGGTATATACCCAGTAATGGGATGGCTGGGTCAAATGGTATTTCTAGTTCTAGATCCCTGAGGAATCACCACACTGTCTTCCACAATGGTTGAACTAGTTTACAGTCCCACCAACAGTGTAAAAGTGTTCCTATTTCTTCACATCCTCTCCAGCACCTGTTGTTTCCTGACTTTTTAATGATCGCCATTCTAACTGGTGTGAGATGGTATCTCATTGTGGTTTTGATCTGAATTTCTCTGATGGCCAGTGATGATGGGCATTTTTTCGTGTGTATTTTGGCTGCATAAATGTCTTCTTTTGAGCAGTGTCTGTTCGTATCCTTTGCCCACTTGTTGATGGGTTTGTTTTTTTCTTGTAAATTTGTTTGAGTTCATTGTAGATTCTGGATATGAGCCCTTTGTCAGATGAGTAGGTTGCGAAAATTTTCTCCCATTTTGTAGGTTGCCTGTTCACTCTGATGGTAGTTTCTTTTGCTGTGCAGAAGCTCTTTAGTTTAATTAGATCCCATTTGTCAATTTTGGCTTTTGTTGCCATTGTTTTTGGTGTTTTAGACATGAAGTCCTTGCCCATGCCTGTGTCCTGAAGGGTATTGCCTAGGTTTTCTTCTAGGGTTTTTATGGTTTTAGGTCTAACATTTAAGTCTTTAATCCATCTTGAATTAATTTTTATATAAGGTGTAAGGAAGGGATCAGCTTCAGCTTTCTACATACGACTGGCCAGTTTTCCCAGCACCATTTATTAAATAGGGAATCCTTTCCCCATTTCTTGTTTTTGTCAGATTTGTCAGAGATCAGATGGTTGTAGATGTGTGGCATTATTTCTGAGGGCTCTGCTCTGTTCTATTGGTCTATATCTCTGTTTTGGTACCAGTACCATGCTGTTTTGGTTACTGTAGCCTTGTGGTATAGTTTGAAGTCAGGTAGCGTGATGCCTCCAGCTTTGTTCTTTTGGCTTAGGATTGACATGGCAATGTGGGCTCTTTTTTGGTTCCATATGAACTTTAAAGTAGTTTTTTCCAATTCTGTGAAGAAAGTCATTGGTACCTTGATGGGGATGGCATTGAATCTATAAATTACTTTCAGTAGTATGGCCATTTTCACAATATTGATTCTTCCTATCCATGAGCATTGAATGTTCTTCCACTTGTTTGTATCCTCTTTTATTTTGTTGAGCAGTGGTTTGTAGTTCTCCTTGAAGAGGTCCTTCACATCCCTTGTAAGTTGGATTCCTAGGTATTGTATTCTCTTTGAAGCAATTGTGAATGGGAGTTCACTCATGATTTGGCTCTGTGTTTCCATGCAATAATTTCAAAAATCACCTTGTTAATATTACACCATATAAATCCACAAGGTTGTACTTGCAGCCTATCCATGGAGTAGAAGTATCTGGTTACATTAATGCCAGTTTTATTGATGAGTAAAGACAATAGAAAGCTTACATTAGGGACCCTTGAAAGAGATCACTGAGGACTTCCAGTGGATGCTCTGGAAACACAATTTCACCAAGCTGTGTGAAATGGGCAGAGAAAAATGTCACCAATACTGGCCAGCAGAATAATCCACAAGATACCAGTACTTTGTTGTAGATCCTGTGGCTGAGTACAACATGCCATAGTTTATCACAAGGGAATTTAAAGTCATAGATGCCAAGGACAGCCAGTCCTGAACAGTGAGACAGCTCCAGTTCACTGACTGCCCAGATTAAAAAGTGCCAAAGTCTGGAAAAAGATTTATTGACTTAATTGGCCAAGTGCATAAAACAAAAGAGTACTGTGGTCAAGATGGACCCAGTTCAGTTCACTGTAATGTGAGCTTGGAAGGAGTAAAATCTTCATAATATTAAGCATTGTTTTGGAAATAATGAGATGTGAAAGAGTTGTAGATATCTTCCAGACCATCAAAACATACAGAACACAATGGCCAGCCATGGTACAAACAGAGAATGAGAATTGGTTTTTCTATTGAGTTGTGCTAGAGAAACTGGGCAGCTTTGATCAATATACAATGTAGAAATCCCTGACCCATTCTGGATTTTTACTATAGTCCTTCAATATCCATGGAGTCTCTTCTGCACCGTGCAGGACACTTGAGAAGTCCTTCTTAACTTTTAACTAACAACTACTTAGTGGGACTATAACACACATGCACAAAATTAAAACAAATCATTCCAGTGGAGAAAGATTTCACACTTTAATAACCTAACTTGAATCCTGACTGACAAGGCATCTGTGAGTTTTTATTTACTGATACCTCAAGGATTCAAAATCAAGGACAGAAGAAATCATAGTAATGAACAACCACCTTGTTCAGGATTGCTTGATAGGAGTGAGGGGAAATTGCCTGAGCGCGGCAAGATGTGTGCTGGTGTGGTGGCTCCTTACAATGAAATGGACTCTGCTTTGACATCACCCCTCCCGCCATACTGTTCATAAGATTTTAGGCGAAAGGCTGTGGGAATGTTTGAAAAGAGTGTTCCTGAACTAATTTTTTTAGTATTGTAAAGGTCTGCTGTGCTTCATTTTGAACTTTGTAAACTTTTTTTTCAACAAAATGTATGATTCAATAAAGTGAATTTTTAAAAAGTTACATAATTCTTTATTTTTTATTTCCAGATTGTAGAATTTTAAGCTGTAGAACTGTTATCTGTAATATATTGCTCTAGAAATATCAAATAATTTGAAATTTTGCATATTTTATGCAATAATTTAATCTACAGTATGTCTGATCAGATATTATTTTTCACTTCTGTACAGTTTTGATTGGTAAGAGAGTATCCATTCTCTTAAAATAAAAAGAATTTTATTTTGGTTTGATTTTGGAATCAATAGGGAGGTACAAATTATAAAGTTGCTGCTAACATATGTACATATTTATCCACAGTGTATATATAGAGTGTCCACACAAAAAATATAGGCACAGCTATCAGTCAGTTCTTCCATGATTTCATTTTTTAAATGTAGAAAAGCTATTGTAAACATTTTCTCCAATTCTTAATTTTATGACACATTTGTGTTTCCTAATATTATGAAACTTCATTTTTTTAAGGGAAATAAGAAGTGCACATTGGTGATTGTTAAACCTCACCCCCTAATTTCCTAATCCCTCTCCCCACAGCCACCCAATCATATTTACAAATACTATTTTGTTGGCCAGGCTTCCAACAAAGTTCAATATTTCTAACATTCTAGTACAACAAAACATTATTAGGCAGAGTGCAGTGGCTCATGCCTGTAATCCCAGAACTTTGGGAGGTGAAGGCAGATGGATCACCTGAGGTCATGAGTTCAAGACCAGCCTGACTAACAAGGTGAAACCCCGTCTCTACTAAAAATACAAAAATTAGCCAGGCATGTTGGCAGGCACCTGTAGTCTCAAGTACTCAGGAGGGGAGGCTGAGACAGGAGAATTGCTTGAAAACGGAAGGCGGAGGTTGCAGCGAGCTGAGATTGCGCCACTGCACTCCAGCTTGGGTGACAGAGTGAGACTCCCTCTCAAAAAAAAAAAAAAAGAAAAAAAGTTTTAAATATCTGATAAGTGTGGGAAGGTCAGTGAATATCCCTTTAGAAGGCAAGAATGTTGTAATACTTCAGCAATTAAGTTGTTTTAAAAGGTGTATTCAATGAAACATTGTCTCTAGTGTCTGCTATGAAATTTGCATTTATGATATGTACCACAGGCAAAGCAAAACGCATGTTACTCTGCTCAGTAAGAAACATTTTGTGGCAAACAGCATTCCTGGGAAGAGCTGTAATTTTTTTTTTTTTTTTTGGTTTGTTATTTGTTTTAATTTTGCATTTAGAGTGCCTTATAATTGATGTATATTTTAATAGCATTTATTTTTAGATTTTTGTTTATATTTTCATTAGTTTTTCATATCTGTTATTATTTTCTATTAAATCATTTTTTGTTTACCACAGAAAATGAAAAATAGTAAAAATTAAAATGGGCAAAAAATTTTAATATACATTTATCCAAAGAAGATATACAAATGGCCAGTAAGCAGATGAAACGATGCTCAATGCCATTAAACATTTGGAAAATGCAAATCAAAACTACAATGAAATACTATCATATACCCATTACCATGGCTACTACCAAAAAGTTATAAAATAACAAGTGTTGACAAGATAGTGTCAACACCCTTGTGCTTTGTTGTTGGGAATGTGAAATGGTACAGCTACTGTGGAGAACAGTTTGGTGGTTCCTCAAAAAATTAAAAATAGAATTATATTATCCAGTATTCTATTCTTGGTATATATTCGATATTCAAAAAATTGAAAAGAAAGTGTCAAGGAGATATTTGCACACTCGTGTTCATAGCAGTGTTATTCACAACAGCTAAAATCTGGAGGCAACCCAAGCACTCATTTGTGGATGCAGGGATAAGCACAATGCAGTATATACATGCAGTAGAATACTATGCAGCCTGAAAAAGGAAGGAAATTCTGGCATGTGTTACAACACGGATGAGCCTTGAGGACATTATGCTAAGTGAAATAGGCCAGTTACAAAAAGATAAATATTATATGATTCTACTTATGTGAGGTCCTTAGTGTAGTCAATTACCACAGAGATAAAAATAAAATGGTTGTTTTCAGGGACTAGGGGAAGAGAGGAATGGAAAATTATTGTTTATTGGGTATAATGTTTCAGTTTTACAAGATGAAGGAAGTTCTGAAGATGAATAGTGGTAAAGGTGACACAAGATTTTGGTTGTATTTAATATCACTGAACTGTACACTTAAAAGTGGTTATGATAGTAAGATTTATGTTATATATATTTTATCATAATTAAAAGCAATCGAGGCAGTTGTCTAACAATCAGTTAAAGTCTTTAGAAATTTTCCTAAGGGATACAGCAAATGGAGAAATCTTCATCAAGAAAATGCACTAAATCTCACTAAGAACGGCAACAGTCTGTGGCATTTGAGCCATGACCCAATCCTTTACCATCCCCACTGCTCCCCCAGGTTCTCTATAACAGAAAATTTGCCCTGGGTATTCTACAACCTGCAAGTGAGACCTAGAAGATGGGGGCTCTCTCCCTTCACCATTGTCTACTCTTGGGCTATGGTTTCACTCTGGGTAGGGCAGGTTGTTAGGATTTCTAATGCCTTGTCACCCTGTGTTGCAGGTGTTCTATTTCATGCAAGCATAGCTAAAACAACCAGGTGCCTCCCTGCCTCTACCTTCCCACCAGCCCACTCATAGAGTAGAAGCTCTACTTTACATAGAGCAATCTGAGAATAATCAGGTTCCAATGGCCCTTGCCTCAGAATGTTCATAGGGTGGTGGTTCCATGCTGGAAAGAATCAAACTGAGAAGACCTGAAGGTATGGTCTGGTCTTCTCAGTTTGACCACACCCCATGATCATTCATAATGTGAAGGCATCACTTCAGGAAAATCCAGGCCCCCCACCCCTGCCCACCCCACGCTAGTTCCAGTGCAGTAGCTCTGAGATCTGCTAAGGGTAAAGGCAGGCCATAAGAATTGACAGGACTGAATTTATTTGAAAAGAGCATAGAGAACTGCACGCCTATAGGCATTGGATATGATACAGGTAAAATAGAGGAAACTATAGAAAGATTGCCAACAAGAGCCCTCCTGAAATCACACTTCATGCTGGGGTTTGGAAGGCTGTGAGTGTGTGCTAAGCTATACTCATTCCAAAACAATCAGATCAAGAAATCAAGAATCAGAAACATTTCTTAAGCATACACAGACCCATCAACACAGTGAAGTACACTGGCACAAAGAGATTAAACACAACTTACTACACAATGAGCTACTCTGTCCTAGGGATAATTCTCAGAATGCCAGGATTTAAAAAAAAATTATATTATTCCCTGGCAATCTCAAGGAAGGAATGGATATCTATGGTGGCTGTGCTGTGTGCCCTCTTAAAATCAACTAGAGAGGAAATTTGCTAGCAATTTATCCCTGGATTAAAATGAGGCAAAAATGTAAATTTCAATTGGATAGCACCTCCAAGATATCCAATAATAAAGGATTAAATCATATTTTCAAAAGGGGACTTAATCTTGAGAATTGAAAACTCCTGGGGTACCAATCTTGTGGCGGAACTCTCATGATTTTAACCTCCTGTAGCCCCACCAGGTAGGTACTCACAATGAAAGTATGAGAATAATTTATCTTGTTTCAGGCAGGAATAATGAACAGTCACTGTTTTGAAATAAACTTGGGAAGGAAGTAACCATTTTGAAATATCTCTAGAGACTTCTCCATAACAAAGGCCTACACTATAGGACCTTTCTGACTTAGGAAAATGTCAGTTAAACAACTCCAAACTCCCCTAGTCTTCCTTTCTCACATAAGACGAGATTTTAAAAAGCTAAGAAATGCTCACAAAGGTCATAGCCCAATGACTCATAACCACTAAAAGAATGGGATTTAATCATAAGATTACAGAATGCTTCCCTCCCCATCACCTTACAACCAGATCAATAAGACTTCACTATACAAACAGTGAATTAGCTACAAGAGCTGTAATACACAATCTCTAATTAAGTGCCTAATACACAGTCTCTAATTAAGAGAGAGTATCTAGCGAAACCCAAAGAAAAGAGGGGAGAAAAAATAACTAGCACAAAAAACTTTGAAGTCTCTAACATGTACAGCTACTAGGGTTGTTATGTTAAGGTTTCTAATTAATAACTTCATCCAGTTTACAGAAAACCACCATTGAGTATCTAGATCTATTTGACATTTATAGAATCTTTCATTCAATAAATGTCGTATATACATTCATCTCAAGCTTACATGGGACATACGGCTAGACAAAGTATATGTTGAGTCATGAAAGATATTAACAAGTAAAAATCAGCAAGATAAAGATAGCTAAAAACATCGCCAAATATTTGGAGAATAAAAAAGCACTGCAAATTAACACGTGAGTCAAATAAGAAGTCTCTGACAGTTTCTATGCCCAGAATGGTATTTCCTAGATTATCTTCCAGAGTTTTTATAGTTTGAGGTTTGACATTTAAGTCTTTAATTTATCTTCAGTTGATTTTTTGTATATGGTGTTAGGAAAGGATCCAATTTCAATCTTTTGCATATGGATAACCAGTTATTCTAGCACCACTTACTGAAAAATAAATCCTTTCCTGAATGCTTGTTTTTATCAGGTTTATCAAAGATCAGATAGTTGTTGATGTGTGGTCTCATTTATGGGTTCTCTATCCTGTTCCATTGGTCTATGTGTCTATTTTTGTACAAGTACCATGTTGTTTTGGTTACAGTAGTCCTGTAGCATAAAGTTAGGTAATGTGATGCCTCCAGCTTTGTTATTTTTGCTTAGGAATGCCTTGGCTATTTGGGCTACCTTTTGACTGGGTAAAGAAAATGTAGGTGGTACATGTATTTTGCAGGATTTGGGGGACTAGAGAGACCAGTAGGTAGAATAGGAGGACATTACTGAGTGCACTCACATCCAGTGGATTAACATCCAGCGACTGGTCCCAGAACAAAGACAGGACTTGACTCTTATACACACTTCAAAAAGGGGGTTGGCTAGTTTGAAACAAGCTTACAGTGGCGTGAAGCATAGTGGCATGAAAGCAAATGTACGGAGGAAGAACAAACACAGTTAATCAATCTGTGACAGGTTCATAACTCAGGGTTACATGTGACTCTTGCTATGCGGCCCAGGTGGCTATTATCTAGGCTTGCTCAAGTGCCTTGCACGGGCTTATTTCATAACCTTCACTATGGCACCTAGATGGCTGCAATCCAGGCCTGCTCAGGCATCTCATGACCTTCACTGTGCTGCTTAGATGAAAAACAGAATACTCGAAGTTACTAGTTACAGAAAACAGGAATCCATAAGCTCATAAGTTTACTTATGCCAAAGGAGAAAGGAAATTTGTTTTTATTTTTTGCATTTTTCTGCTTCATATAACACCCTGAAATACTATGCAGCCATAAAAAAAAAATAAGATTATGTTCTTTGCAGCAACATAGATGGAGCTAGAGGCCATTATCCTTAGTAAACTAATGCAGGAAAGGAAAACCAAATGCTGCATTTTCTTAATTTTAAGGGGAAGCTAAATAATAAAAAGCAATGGGCACAAAGACAGGAACAACAGATACTGGGACCTACTTGAGGGAGCAAAGTAGAAGGAGGGAGACAATCAGAAAAATAACTATCAGGTACTACATTTAGTAGCTAGGTGATGAAATAACCTGTACACTGAACCCCCATGACACGAGTTTACCTATGTAACAAACCTGCATGTGTACCCATGAACCTAAAATAAAGTTATTTTAAAAGTCTTGAAAATTTTTAAAATATTTTGAGCAAATAAGATGAAAATGCAACTTATCAAAATTTGTGAGATGTAGCAAAAACAGTGCTTAGAGGAAAATTTATAGCATGAAGTGCATATAATAGGAAAGAAGAAAGATCTAAAATTGATCATTTAAACTTCATAAACTGGAGAAGAGCAATGGAAAACCAAAACAACGAGACAGAAATAATAAAAGTTAGAGGGAAAATCATTAACATTTCGAACATGAAGTCAATGGGCCAAATCAACAAGACCAAAGCTGCTTCTTTAAAAAGTTCAACAAAGGGATAAACTTCTAGGCATATAAATCAAGACAAAACAAGAGAAGACATAAATTGCTAATATCAAAAATGAGAGATAATCCTGTGGATATTTTAAGATTAATATGGGAATATTATGAACAACTATACTCACACAAATTTGATAACCTACATAAAACTGACCCATTCCATGAAAGAGAGAAACTGGAAACTGGCACAAGGAGAACTAGTTTATCTGAACAGCCTATATTAAAGAAATTGAATAAGAAATTGATAAACGTCCAAAAAAGTAAGCACTAAGCTCAGATGATTTTACTGGTGAATTTTACCCAATATTTAAGAAAAAATACAAGTTCTGTACAATCCTTTTTAAAAGTGTGTACTCCAGTTGTTTAGGTATCTACAAAACAAAAGCATACAAAACACTTTCACATTTATTCTGTGAAAACAGCATTACTTTAATACCAAAACCAGATACAAATATTGAAAGATATCTGAACCACAGACAAACATATCTCATGAACAACGATGCAAAAAATTCTCAAAATATATTACCAAATCAAACCCAACAATATATTTTAAAAATCTAAGTATGCAATACTGGTTCAGCATTTGAAAATCAATTAATATAATTCATCCAATCAACAAGCTAATTAAGATGATCATATTATATTAATAGAGAAAAACTCTTCAACAAATTATAACACCCTTAAACACCTAGTAATGGAGAGGGAGTTCTGCTTTCTGATAAATAATATCTACTAAAAACCTACAGCTAACATCATAGTAAATGTTGCGCTTTCTGCCTAAGAATCTTCCTGCCAAAGATGCATCCCCTCTTAGCCACTCCTACTCACAATTTTATGGAAAGTCAAAACTAATACAATAAGAAAATAATAGGTAATAAAAGGTAGAAAGGTTGGGGGGAAAATATTTGTGTTCACAGATGACATCATTTTCTGTGTAGAAAGTCATCAATAATCAACCAAGTAAACCTCTCAGAAGTAATAAGCAATTATAGCAAGGTTGCTAGCTACAAGGTTAATATATAAAAGTCAATAGATTGCCCATATACCAGAAATTGATAATTGAAATAAGAAATTAAAAACAATACTGTTGACATTACCAATAAACCAAATTATGTATAAATCTAACAAAATATGTACAGCACCTATATGAGGAAAATTGCAAAACTAAAGAAAATTTTAAAAGACCCAAGTAAATGAAGAGCTATTTCATGCTCATGTATATGTAAGAATACTCAATATTGTTAAGATGTAAATTCTCTGCTACTTGATCTCTAGATTCAACACAGTTTGACTCCCGGTAACTTAACATGTAGATATCAACAAATTGATTAAAATGTTTATAGAGAAAGGCAAAAGACCCTAAAATGGTCAACACACTACTGAAAAGGAAGAACAAATTTGGAATATTGACATTAGTTGATTTTGAGACTTACTGTGAAGTTACAGTAATAAAATGGTATCTTACCAATACCAATAGTGTGTGATATTGGCAAAATAATACCATTGGTAAAAAATAAATCAATCAGCAGGAAAGAATAGAAAGCCCAGAAATAGATCCACTCATACAAACATAGTCAACTGATCTTTGACAAAGAATCCAAGATATTTCAATAAATAAAGGATAGTTGATGGAACAATTTGACATCCTTATACAAAGAAAAGAACTTAGACACTTACCTTGTAACTTTCACAAAATAAATAAATAAATAAAAACTCGAAAGAGGTCATAGACCTAAATGTTAAAGGTGAAACTATAAAATCTGTGAAACATAACATAAAAGAAAATCTAGGTGTATTAGAAAATTTCTGCTCTGTGAAAGACACTGTTAAGAGAATGAGAAAATAAACTACTGACGGATAAAATATTTGCAAAAACGTGATAAAGGACTGGTATCCGGCCCAGCGTGGTGGCTCATGCCTGTAATCCCAGCATTTTGGGAGTCCAAAGCGGGCGGATCATGAGCTCAGGAGATTGAAACCATCCTGGCTAACATGGTGAAACCCTGTCTCTACTAAAAATACAAAAAATTAGTCAGGCGTGGTAGCAGGCACCTGTAGTTCCAGCTACTTGGGAGGCTGAGGCAGGAGAATGGCATGAACCTGGGAGGTGAAGTGTGCAGTGAGCCAAGATAGCACCACTGCATTCCAGCCTGGGCGACAGAGCAAGACTCTGTCAAAAAAATAAATTAATAAAATAAGATAAAATAAAAGGACTGATATCCAATATATGCAAAACTCTTAAACATAAAAAAAAACTCAATCCAATTTTAAAAAGGAAAAAAAATTGAGTGGATATCTTACAAAAGAAGATACACAGATAGTGAATGGCATATAAAAAAATACTCAACATCATATGTCGTTAGGGAACTGCAAATTAAAACAACATCGACAACAAAATATTACCTATTAGAAAAGCTAAAACTCAAAACACTGACAACACCAAATGCTGGTGAGGATGTAGGGCAACAGGACCTATCATTCATTGCTGATGGGAATGCAAAATGGTATAGTCACTTTGAAAAAATTTGGCAGTATTTTACAAAATTAAACAAGCTCTTACCATATGATCCAGCTATTGTGCTTCTTCAGATGTACCTAAATAAACTGAAAATTTTGGCCACACAAAACCAGCACATGTCTGTAGCAACCTTATTCATAATTACCAGAACTTGGAATCAACCAAATTGTCCATAAGTAGGTGAATTTATAAGCAAACTGTACTGTTCAGTAATAAAAAGAAATAAGACATGAAGGATTAAAAAAAAACAGAGAAATCATAAAAGCAAATTTCTAAGTGAAAGAAGTCAATATGAAAAAGCTACTTACTGTATGTTTTCAACATTCTTGAAAAGGCAAAATAGTACAGAAATAAGATGGGTGGTTCCTAGGGTTTTGGAGATAGGAAGGGAAGGACATAGATAAAGCATAGCGTACTTTTAAGGTAGTGAAACTAATTCTTTACAATACATCAGAAAGATGAATTGAACATCATCAACATTAAAAATATTTGGGTTTCAAAGAACACCATCAAAAAAATAAAAACAACCCATAGAATGAGAGTAAATATTTGCAATCATTTATCTAATCAAGTTGTATCAAGAATCTACAACTCTCTAATAATTGAACAGTAATGAGACAACTCAATTGTTAAAATGGGTAAAAGATCTGGAAATGTAAAACTGTGCAGCTGCTTTGGCAAACAGTTGGCAGTTTTTCAAAATGTTAAAGGTATAGTTAGCCCAGCCTGGCCAATATGGTGAAACCCCGTCTCTCTTAAAAATATAAAAATTAGCTGGGTGTGGTGGCAGGCACCTGTAATCCCAGCTACTTAGGAGGCTGAGACAGGAGAATCATTTGTACCCGGGAGGTGGAGGTTGCAGTGAGCCGAGATTGTAGCATTGCACTCCAGCCTGGGTTTCAGGGCGAGACTCTATCTCAAAAAAAAAAAAAAAAAAAAAAAAAAAGTATAGTTACCATAAAACCTAGCAATTTTACTACATATATAGCCAAGACACACAAAAACATAACAAAAGCATATATTCATACAAAAACTTATACATCCTTATGAAAAATTCTCATAGTATCATTTTTATAATAGCCAAAATGCAGACTAAAATATTCACCAACAGAAAAATAAGTAAATGCAATGTGGTATATTTATACAATATAATATTTAGCCATAACAATGAATGAGGTTCTGATACATGCTACAACATGGACAAACCTTGAAAGCATTAGAAAGCATTACGCTAAGTGAAAGAAGCCAGATACAAAGAACACATACATATAATTGTATTTATATGAAATCTTCAGAATAGGGAAATCAGTAGAGACAAAAAGATTAGTGTTTATTTAGATCTGAGAAGCAGATTGGGTGGAAATAAGGATTGAATTCTAATATGTATGAGCTTTCTTTTTGAGTAAAAAAAAAAATTCTAAGATTAGGTTGAGGTGATGGTTACAAAACCCTGTGAATTTACTAAAACTCATTGACTTACACACTTTAAATGGGTGAATTTTATGGTACATAAATTACAACTCAATAAAGCTATTAAAAAGCAATTAATTCAAACATTTGTAGCTAATTTTTATAAAAAGTTTTCACAAATCCATCAGTTTTCCAAGTATTTTAAAATAATTATTTAATCTGTACAATAATTTATGTGAGATAGTTACTAATATCGTCCTTAATTTACAGGCCAGGACACTGAAGCTTGTAACACTTATGTAACTTGCTGAAAGTAACATAGCATTTATGTGTTCAGGCTGGAATCTGTACCCAGGCAGTCTGGCTCCAAATGACTTGCCTTAAGCCACATACTTCTGCTATATTATATTGGTCAGAATTTACATTCCTATTATGTTCCTATTACTCTTACTAAAATCATGTAGTTATAGCAAGATTTCTAGGGAAGGTGTTTTCTTCTAGCCAAAGCTAAATAGGACAAGGACTAATGTTTCTACACTGTCGTATGGGCCTTCAGGCCTTTGCCATTGCCTAAAATGGTATTCCTCTTCTTACTGTGGTTTAAATCCCACTCACGTTTCAAGGCCAAGTCCCAAGTAATCTCTGGGAAGCTTTCTCTAACTCTCCAGGCCAATGTGGTTGTTCCGTTTCTTGTCCCATTACATTCTTTACATGCCTATAGTATACCTCTTTTCCCAATATGTTATAATTATTTGTTTTCATAGCTGTCTTTTCCATTAGATTGAAGTTCCCAAGAGCAGGGAACACTGATATTAATATTTGCAACCTTCAGTATTGCTGCTCGGAAAACAGAAGGCACTCAAAAAACAATGAATAAAAAGGAGATGGAGGCTATAGAAGAAATAATATAATGGGTGTACCTTCCCTTACCCTTACAGAACTTAGGATGCAATTAGGAAACCCAAACTCTCACCACATTGAATAGTGAATAACTCATGCAAGAGAATGTCTACGTGAGATTAATAAGCAGTGGAATTTTGACTAGGAGCATTTAAGTGACATTTCTAAGCTCTCCAATATACATTTAACTCATAGACTTTGTTTCTGGACAATTGTGTGACTTTGCTAATAATTAAATATCACGTTCTTCCATTCCATGTTCACTGTGCAGCCAGGTGTCGAAGTTTTCTGTATTAAATAGCAAAGGCCATCTCAAGCTTGTCATTATATCTCTGAGCAAAGGTCAGGAATCTAAAGGACTTTTGATTTGCCAGTTCTATTTTAAAAGAATGTTAATCAAATGTAGGTCGAGCATGCCAGGGTTTGATCCCATTGGCATAGAGTTTGAAAATGAATATTCCAGATGGTGCCTGGTTTAACATTTTGAACTGAAGTCTGCTGGTCTGGGAATGTCATTATTTCTGTTAAAAAAATAAATAAATAAATAAATAATAATAAAAAAAAGATTTACCTGTGTGACTTTTCAATCAGTAAATTATTTTTAAAATAAATCTAAAAGGGAAAATATTGTTTCTGCCAGGATGAACACAACATTTTCTTCTTTTATAGTGTGTAACTGAAAGATATGCCAAATATAAATCCTTGTTTCCAACAGTAATGAGAATGTATGACTCGGATATAGTCAAACATTCCTTTTCGGTATTGCAACCATGGATCTCTACGTTAACTCTCAAGCTGCTTGGCTATCAGTTGGTGAAAGCAATCAGTCAATTGCTAAATGATCTGAATCTGCCCCATGGCATCAGAGTTGCCTGAAAGTCATTGCATTCTCCAGGTGTCCAATGTACTCTAGAGACATAATTTGTATGGTGAGACTTCATTTCTCCAAAAGCAAGTATGATTCAATCAACGAAGAAAAAAAAAAAAAGCATGAGTGGATTTGAACCATGAAGCTCACTGGATTAATACCTCTGTGAACATACAAAGCAGGCATTTTACTTTCCCTCAAAGTCTACGCTGTATTTTGAGGGCTCGTGGTAAATTTGACTCTGAGAGAAATTACAAAATTAAAGCAGGAGTGCTGCGGTAAAGGACTTTCCTCCTCAGCCAAAGCTAAGTCTAGGTAATGGTTATGTAGGCCAGGGACACGCTAAAGATTTGAGGTTTGTTTCAGCCCCTGTAATTATATACATCAGGAATCAGACTATCCCAGAGCAATGCTATAATAATACAGGATGTGTTGTTGAAAGTCTGCCCATTCAGGGAGAAAATTTTTGCAATCTACTCAACTGACAAAGGGCTAATATCCAGAATCTACAATGAACTCAAACAAATTTACAAGAAAAAAACAAAGAACCCCATCAACAAGTGGGCGAAGGATATGAGCAGACACTTCTCAAAAGAAGAGATTTATGCAGCCAAAAGACACATGAAAAAATGCTCATCATCACTGGCCATCAGAGAAATGCAAATCACAACCACAATGAGATACCATCTCACACCAGTTAGGATGGCAATCATTAAAAAGTCAGGAAAAAACAGGTGCTGGAGAGGATGTGGAGAAACACGAACACTTTCACACTGTTGGTGGGACTGTAAACTAGTTCAACCATTGTGGAAGACAGTGTGGTGATTCCTCAGGGATCTAGAACTAGAAATACCATTTGACCCAGCCATCCCATTACTGGGTATATACCCAAAGGATTATAAGTCATGCTGCCATAGAGACACATGCACACGTATGTTTATTGCAGCACTATTCACAATAGCAAAGACTTGGAACCAACCCAAATGTCCAACAACGATAGACTGGATTAAGAAAATGTGGCACATATACACCATGGAATACTATGCAGCCATAAAAAAGGATGAGTTCATGTCCTTTGTAGGGACATGGATGAAGCTGGAAACCATCATTCTCAGCAAACTATTGCAAGGACAAAAAACCAAACACCACATGTTCTCACTCATGGGTGGGAATTGAACAATGAGAACACATGGACACAGGAAGGGGAACATCACACACCGGGGCCTATTGTGGGGTGGGGGGAGGAGGGAGGGATAGCATTAGGAGATATACCTAATGTTAAATGACGAGTTAATGGGTGCAGCACACCAACATGGCACATGTATACATATGTAACTAACCTGCACGTTGTGCACATGAACCCTAAAATTTAAAGTATAATAAATAAAAAAAAAAGTCTGCCCATACAGTTTGAAGTCTTTGGATGCATGTGTGGGTGCCCTGTGAGTGTTGTAATGCTCTTCGTCACAGAATCTTTTCTGATGATGCCTTTTAAAAAATGTTAAAATTATAACGAAAGAGATGGGAATTTACTTAAATGTTGAAAAATATGTGCAAATGGACCCTGCCAGGAAATCTCAGGCAGTTTAGAGTGGTCCAGTCTGGGTTACATTTTAAATGTTTGGTTCTCACATTGAAAGCTTTCCATTTTATCATGAAGTAGATACTCTGGAGATTCCCAAAAAGAAATGCACTAAACTTCTGTTCCTGTGTGGGCTCCACACCCCTGCTTACATCATTCTTCATAGGCATATTATTTAATAATGGGATATGAAATGAAAATGTGAGGTTCTTAAAAACACATTGCTCATACTAGCAATATCAGCCATTTCCTACCAACAAATTTTATATGTTTAATTAAACACATATCTACTGATTGTCTGCTACATAGTAGACACTCTGGTAAGTATTAAGGAAATAAAGAACATTAATATTATTTTTGCCTTAAAGGACAGTCTGTGTTGTAATGTTTTTGTTTCTTTCAACTTCAAAGTGTGATAAATCTATACTTCTTATGATAGCCCATAAGTGCTTCATAATCTGCCCTGCCAAGTTTTCTGTTTCGTTACATGCCAAAATTATCCTCATTCCTTGTGCTCTATTTACATGGACTCTATTTCCCTCCCTCAAAAATACAAGCCCTGATTTTTCCCTCATTGTGTACTTGCTTAACCCTCTGTTTGGAAACATTCTTCCCCTAAATTGCTCATGGTTAGATTCTTATCTTTTAGATTGTCTTTCAATTCGCCTCCTTAAAGAGTCCTTCCTTGATCGTTTTGTGAAATATTATCTCTCCCAAACACTATCATATTTTTCTGTATCCTTCACTGGAAATACCACTTTTGAAATTCACTTATTTTTTTTCTTGTTTTCTATGAATCTCCTACTACTGGTTTCTAAGCTCCTTGAGGGGAGGAATATTACCAATCTTATTTATGAATTGCTTTCCTAGAACAGCACCCAGAAGAGGAAAAAAAAGTACATATGCTTAATAAAAACTTGACAAATTGATACATAAAGAAAGAAGTGGGATGAGGTCTAGGCAGATTTTTTTTTAAATTGTGGTTTCTTAAATGGTATGTGCCTAGATTACTTTGAATCATAAATAATCTTCAAGAGCTTCTTTAACATGCTCATGTATCATTTATCCAAGACCAAAGATCCTTGTAGGATCAGGAATAGCACACAACACTACATTTTAAGGGAGCAGTGTTTTAGAGGTGTATCCTTTCTACAATATATAAGCATGCAACTCTCATCAAAAGAAGAAAAGAAAATGAGCAAAAACCTAGGTCTTCTGCCATTCTGCTCACACTTTTAGAGAACTGATGTTCAGAATTTATGCCTGTCATGGTATGATACCGAAAACCCAGCTAGATATAGAACACCAGGTATCACCTTGTATCAGATAATCTTCATTATTCCACCGAACTAAAACCTCTGATTTTCATCTCCGTCAGTGTATAATCTCACTTTATTTTACTTTACTCATTGATAAAAGGAGGGACTTTTTAAAAGATAGCCTATAAGATAATTTTTAATTCTATATTTTTAGCATTAATTTCTGAAAAAGCATCATTTGGCAATGAGACATCTTACCAGCCTTTGTGTTCCTATAGCTTGAAATGCTAAATCAGCATCCAAACAAGTTTTCTTCCTTCTCCTCAAATAAAATTAGATAAGTGAATACGTTGTCTTGTAACCTCTGGCTACAAATATATTTCCTGATGGCTTTTAGGTTCTTAGCAAATGTATATTGTTTTTTGTTTCTTTTTTAAGTGTAGGAAATATGTCTAAACAATATATCCAGACTTGTTCTCCTTTGTAATTGTACCTTCTTTTCCTGAAGTTGAGGGATTACAGACACACTGATATTGTGCAGAATGGTAGTGTTGAGATTGAGAGTTACTTTGGTTGCTTGGTTCATGGTTATTTCTCCACTGGAGAGTAAAAGGAGGGGCTTCCAAAGATTCCACTTCTGGGTAGATATGAAGTAATTATGTAACACATGTGAATCTCCTTAGTAATGGATAGATTATCATTAATGAAGGCAAGTTTAAATGTTTTAAATCCTAAGGCATTGGCCTTGGATTAATTTTTCAAACATCAGAACTTAGATGTTTATTCTTCTACATTGGCCATGAGAAGCTTTCTTTTTGCAAACTAGACTGATGGAAAGTTTCAGTTTTTACAGTCACTTTCTAAGTTACACATATGCAAAAATAATCAGAGAGTAGGGACAGCACTTTCTTTTCATCCCTGTGTAACTGAAAAACAGTAATGCAAGTGTGGCTCACGTACCATGAAACTTTCATCTTTTGCTGCAGCCCAATAGATCAAAAGGATAATGTTACAGAAAGATGTGAATGAATAGAAACAGGCTGCCAAATGGTGGGTTTACCCTCTTTTTCTTCTCTTTTTTGTGAAGTTGCATTTTTAAAAGGAAAATAATACATGTTTTAAACCACCATCAGTAAAAGAAAAGACATTTCATAAATATATAAAACTGGGATGATATTACTGGTAAAATTAAAACAATTAACATTTATGAACTAAGGGGATAATACCCATTTTAATATTTAACCTTAATTACAAGTTAAAAAGTTGTATCCTTCAATTATTATTTTATTTTAATATCATAAAGTATATTTTTGATAGAAATATTTTCTCAGCTCCCCCTGTAGCTCCCATATTACATTAAGAAATGTAAGATCACCAAAAAGAATAGGCTCATTCAATATCAGAAAGAGTAACAGATGCATTTTAATAAATTGGATATTCCTACTTCCACGTTTGACTTCTTTTGAGCCTATAAAATGGCATACCCACTGTAACATAGTAAATTGATACCATGTACAATTGAGCAAAATATGGTGGTACCTGAATTTTAAAAAATGAATATCTATGAAAATAAGACATGGAGATAAAAAATAAGCTATTAATTTATTCTTTAAAACTAAAGATGAATTCTTCATTTATTATGAAGGTAATTGATCCATGGGCAGTTTTGGAAAGTCTAGCGGTATATTTTGTAACAGAACAGTGTACATTTTTACATGCATGTCAATCACTACTAAAATGATATAATGATAACCCTTAATGTCATGCTATTGAAATCATTGCCACTAATTCATTAAACAGCATTTTATGGACATGACAGTTTTAAAAAATAAGATGTTTCAAATAATGTCTTTAAAAGCAACTGACTACCATATATCGTTTGATTCTAACATGTTTATTTTTATGCATTCAATACAAATATTTAAAAAATCTAAATGCTCACTAACTGTACAACAAAATCCATGCTCTCCTTAGTACACTGGGCACATAGCTGGATATTTCTCAGCCTTGCTTGCAATTAGGTGTGCTCATTTGCAGGGAGAGCTGTCACTTCCAGGCCTAACGCAAAGAAAATTCTCATTTGCATTCTTCCATTCTGGCTGGAAGAAAGAAGACCCAATAACTTTGGAAGTTAAGTTTGAAGACGGCAGTGGTTCTGCCAGTCTGAGTCCCAACTTGACTACATGGAAGAGGGTCCTGCCACCACCTTGTCTTCCTGCCTAATTCAATTATATGAGCATGAAATCGACTTCTATTGTATTCAGACCATTATACACATTATTGTATTTCATCTGCTATAAGTAATACACCAATACTCTTAAATAAAAAAATTACTGACCATAATATATTTTGGAGGAGTTAGGATACTCCTTATATACTTTACCAAAATGCTACTTCACACTTTTTCCTCCCACAAATCACTCACTTCCTTATCTATCCTTTCCCTACGATGGTGTTCTTACCTCATACTTCCTGGAAAATGAAGAAATAGACAGAAATGCCCTTATCTTCACTCTTTGTTAATTTGCCTCTATCCCCATATTTCTACTCATACTTTCTCTTTTCCTTCCTGCTTCATTAAAAAATAAAAATAAAAAGTAAAAGAAGCAATTAGATTGTCTGGATAAAGCCTTAATAAAAGCTATTTCTTTGGGCTTCAGAATTTACACTTTATTTAACTGTCTAACTCTGATCCTCTGGAAACTTGATAAAAATAATATATTAACCATGTTATCAGGCAACATTGCTTAGAATGCAATGACTCCTGATAAACTACATCTGGATTGGATGTAGCTTTGGCCTATTCTGAGTGTAATGGCTGGTAAGTTTTTCATGCAACTCTGGAAGTTATGCTATGAGTCATGGGTCTTTTCAGCCAAAGTGACTCTTGCACCTCCTAACACGGACTTACCTCCTAGCCCTCCAGTTGTGATCTGGGATAACAGTAGCTACTGGATGTGAACTGCCATGTGAGCTGCTGCAAGGACTCTTTTTGAAGGAATGCCTGATACTGCCCTCCTTCCAAGCTGTGTTTCCTGCTTATATCATTCTGAGTAGCTTGGTACAAGTGTGGCCTATGTGTTGTGAAGCTGAATGTTTAGTTGAAACCAAGGAGGTCCCCTAATGGGCTTTGCATATCTCTGATCCAATCCCCACCCTCAGTTCCATTAGCCAAGAAACCAACCTTCCTATACTTCAGCAGAACTCTGGAGGTTTGTTCTCTCCAGAGGGTAAAATAGAGAGCCTCTGGAGTAGGAAAAATTAGGCATAGTTGTGGATAGGGATACTCTACTGAAAATGAGGGAGGTGAAGGTGGCATTAAGTGGATATTTACATACCAATTCCTGAGGCTCCTGAACCCTCCTCTTTTGCCAGTTGGCTTACAGAATGCTAGCAAGAACGTTGACACATTCTTCTCTAGTGAATTAGACCTTACAAGGAAAAGGCACAAAGTGATGGGCATCTTATGTCTACCGAAGGAAAAGCACAGGCAGTGCACTCATTAGTGAAATTCAGTCAGCAAGTCCATGGGATTTCAATTATCTATTCAGTGTTATACGGTATAATATGAGTAGAAATTTATGGATTATTCACTATCTGAAAAAAGCCTATAATAAAAAATCAAAGACCAAAATAAGTGAAGAACAATATTTGAGAAATTCCTAGTATAAAATTTACAATGACAAGCACATACACACACACACACACACACACACACACACACACACACTTGAAACAAAAGCAACATAAAACATATTATGCAAATCTAACAATTTTTCAAATAAACTATTAATGTCTTTAGATAAATAAGAGAATATATTGCATCCATGAAGCAAGAACATACATATATACACACAAAGAAATTTCAGAATATATGTAATTATATATAAATGTATATATATAAATGTGTGTGTATATCTAGATATCTATCTATCTATCTATAAAGGACACTCAATGATCCAAAAGGAGCTTTTGAATATTTTGTAAAAAAGTGATAACAGAAAGGAAAACTCATAGAATGCTGACAAACTTAGTAAAAAAAAAATCCCATTAAGTAGAGCCAAAAAAAACATACATGGAAAAATATATGAGAAAATCTTACAAAAATTAAACAAATAATTGGAAAAGTTCAACATCTGAATACAAGAAATTCCAGAAAGAATGACAAGAGTAAAACAAATAGAGAAAATCATTTATGAAACAATTCAAAATTATTTCATGAACTAAAGGACTTTAATTATCATATTGAAAGGCCTTATAATTACCTACACACATGGCTAAAATAAATCATACAAAGTTAAATCACTATGAAATTTCAGAGAACTAAGGATCTTTTACAAACTTCCACAGGGGCTAGAGAGGGGAGACGATTTAGATTTCCACAGGAATTAGGCTATCAGAATGGCTTGGGCCTTTTGAATAACAAATTCTGAAACTAGAAAGTAGTGAGCCAATGCCGTCAAAATTCTGAAGAGAAATTATTTCCAACAGAGTACAGTTTGCCTAGCCAAAATATCATCATGCAAGAAAACCTCCCAAAATCCCACGTATATTTTTTCAGGAAGTTATAGTAGGCTATTATCTCCCACAATGAGAGAGTAAACCAAGAAAGGAAGAAGACGTGGGAGACAAGATACAAGAGACACAATACAAACAAGAGACAAAGGATATTTTCCCCAGATGATGGTGAATAGAGATCCTATGTAGTAATAATAATGAGTTAATGTAAATATTGCATGTTGATCTAACCTAATTTACAATATTTAGCAGGTATAGGATTATGAAAAGGACACATGTGTGTGCTGGCAATTAAGAAGGGATGAAAGAGAAAATCCTCATCCACAGTGGGAGGTCAATAGATAATGCTTAAAATAGAAAAACAAACACTATTTTTAGCTTATATGGCCAAAAAAGTGAGAGTGGGAAATGAGAGATGAGGGGTCATTGTTGAATTTAAAACAAACATTGTTTAATTATTTGGCTCTTTTTGCACTTCTTGTGCAATCATGTAGATGATAAAAATAGGAATTAAACAAAGATTAATATATTTTAAATATTATACTGTTACAAGAGCATAAATAAAAATTTTACCTTATAAACATTTGATGAAAACTTTTGTAATGAGAGATACATATATTCTACTACATTTTAAAATTGAAAACAAAGTGGCAGTCAAATGAGAAATATTAACAGGGAGATATTCTGAGAAACACATCTATAATTGTCTCATTTACATATTCTCCACTTCTGTTTTCCTTCTTATTCTTTTTAAGACCATTTCTGAGTTATTTTGTCCCATTAACCTTGTACTTTCTCTATCTCAATCAATTTCTACCATTCACTTTCCTTTTCAGCTTAGAATCTGTGGTATATCCTTCATCAATATTTTCTTTCCAATATTTCCAGTTCTCTCACGTCATTTTCCTTTTATGACAGTCTCCTTGAAAAATGGCAACATTCGATAAATTCAATATATCATGGAGAAATAAAAATCACATACTTCTTTGTAATTATATTGTCAAAATATTTCCATATTCAAGTATTCCAAATGTGAGCAGAGTAATGGATAAATTCTATGATTAGAAGTATACTTCTCTTTCTAAATGAATTAAATTTTCAATATTGAAGCGATTGGCTACTTTTTAGGTGGAAATAAATTCCAATTATGTAAAAATTATTTATTTTGCTTGGAAATATTTAAATGTATAATTTAAATTAGAATACTCCAGACAAATTCTGGTAACTGAAGGTAACAAACTCAATTCTACGTTTGTTAACATTTTACCTAACTTAAATTTACATGTAGAAAGTAAACACTGTACTTATTGTAGGAATGGTGTTCTTAAAAGAACATTTATAATATGGAATTTATTATGTAATTATGTATAAAAATAATTGATGATTTGACCTACAGAATGCATGCAAATTTGATGCTAAATTTTTTATATAAATAATATGATTTTGAGTAACTAAATTCCCATCTTAAAAGTTCCTTAGCTAAATAGAATGAATTAAGGTAGAGTATAACTGTAAAAGAGAATGGAGAAAAAATTGCACAGAAATTCTGGAAGAAGATAAGAATCTAATGCTTTTTATTCAGAAGAGAGACATCTGATTTAGGAATACACACACACACATATGCACGCACCTATGTGTGTGTATAAGTGTATATATGTATATATATATTATGCATAGCTATAGCTATTTCTATATATATTTGTGTATGTTTCATGAAATGTCAATTCTAATATTCTATGTTAAAAATAAATTTTATTTCTTTAAATAGTTTTCAAGTAGAGTAAGAGTATATTTCTTTGGAATCTAGAATAATAGATAGAAGGAAAAAAATCAGTATTTTACAGATCCATTCTTCAAGACACAAAGTCTATGTCTCTACCCCTTGAATCTCTCTTTGCCCATGTTACCTTAATTTTTTAATAAGATATTAGCAAATGTGATGCAAGCAGTGTTTTAAAACATACTATATCACCTTGGGGCTTGCCCTTTCTTGCTACTAGGATCCCTGAGACCATCATGGGCAGAAGCCAAGACAAGCCTTCCATGGGTGAGAAATCTTGTGGAAAGAGCTCCAGGCATTCATAAACTCTCAACCGTCCCAGCTAAGAACTCAGAACGTAAGAATGATCCAGAAAATCCACAGAATTTTGAAAAAGAATAAACGTATGTTGCTTTAAGCTGCTAGGTGTTAGAGTGATTTGTTTTACAGCAACAGCTAAGGCATAAAATGATACTGGAAGTAGGTGGTATTGAACACAAATCTAAAGTGCATGGCATTGAATTTCAGACCATGGAACAGGAAAAGACTGGAAAATTGTGAATAAAGCATTAATAAAGTCTAGAAAAATGGGTAGTTAAACTGTTAGTGAAGCCTGGAAAAAAAATGGCATGAAAATTTCTAAAGAATACTAAAAAAATAGCAACTCATGATATAGCAGCAAAACAAATTAGAAAAACTGTTGCTTGTGATAATTTGGAAAACTGAGAGTGTACCTAGTGAACTTTTGGATTTTGGCTAAGGAAATCTGCAACTAGAATGTTGAAAGTGTCAGCGGATGTTTATGGCTGTGAATAATAAAATTGAGGAAGATGTCAATGAGCTACAGAAGGAACTATTCAACTTGCAGCAGAATTTAGAAGCCAGGACTTGCATGGTCGGAAAATAAAATGGTCTCTCTATCTTACAAAAATAACTCTATTAAAATGTGAAACAAGGTGCAGAGCCAAAAGTGAAGTCAAGGAAGTGACTATAAGATCTGTTGTTAGAGTTCTCTTGAAGACATAGCTGGATTAAAGGTCTAGGAACCTAAGAGTATTGTGTCATGCCAATTTGACCCATGGCACCAAATAGAGGCTGGTCTTTAAAAATAAAACAAACAAACAAAAGGAATGTGGCTTTCAGGCCATGGAGTGAACCTGAATCAGATCAATAGGTAACCAGTCTTAGACTAAAAGGAACAAAGATAATTTATATTTAAAAGAAGACCAGTGGCCTTTGCATTTGCTACTGTAAGAAGCAAGGTGAAAATTACTCAGCTGCAAATAGGAGCCATTTCTTGTGGAAAAAGAAGGATGTCTCAATGAGCAGAGTGAAAAACCGAGAGTGGAGCCAAAAGCCATATGGAAATGCAGTGTTAGAGAGTAAATCATGAAGACCAGAACTGGGCCCTAATCAGAAATCATCTTTTGCCCCGCAAATAGTGAGACCTGCTAATATGAGCCTGGCTGGATTTCAGAATTGCTATGAATCAGTGACTGCCATGCCCTTCCTTTTCTTCATCTTTTTGAGTAGAAGTGTCTGTTGCAGTTAATCAGTCCCTGTCCAACATTGTATGTGGGATAGATAGAAAGTAGATAACTTGTATTTTTAGTTCACAGGTTTCTGAATCAAGAAGAACTCCATGCAAGGGGCCTCATCTGCATTAAGACCTGATGACAACATTGGATAAGACTTTGAGGGATCCTGAGATGGGTATAAGCATATTTTACCTGTGGATGGAGTATCACTAATTGTAGTCAGAAAGCAAAATGTATTCAATTGAAAAGATGCTCTCAATATTTCACAGCCCCTCCCAGCAAGTGAAGTCTATGCCTCCATCCCTTGAATTTTAGCTTCACCTCATGACTTGCCTTGACAATGGGATATAAGAAAACACTATGCAAGAAGATGATTAAAAAACAGCTTCCACACTGACACCTCCCCTCTTTTGCTCCTGGGAACTCTGGAATCACCCTGTGAAGAATCCCATTTTTATGAGTTTAGTTCCACTAACATTGGGCATATGTAAGTCAGAACACACGGTATTTGAAAAAATAAGGAAAAAACCTCTTAGAAAACTAGGTAAAGACAACTTTTTTAAAAACCTGATAAAGAGTCTCTACAAAAAATATTCTCAATGGGAAATGTTGAAAGATTTCCCTTTAAATCAGGAAAAAAACAAGGGCTCTACTATCAATATTCATATTCAGCATTTTACTGAAAATTCCAGCCAGTTCAGTAATACTAGAAAAAAAATAAAAATAGAAGAATGAAAAATGAATCCCGTATATCTTCCTGAGGATGAGGGATCACAGAGAGAGAGGTCCCAGCTCCAAGATGACAGAGCAGTCTCAGTTGAGGTCTCAGTACTGTAAGTGAGACCATACTATTCCACTCAGCCCTAGCTGACCCAGTGTAGATATCCTAATGAATTCTGAGCAATATTTAATATTTATTATTTTAAGCCATTAAATTTTAAGGTGGTGTGTTATTCAGCAAAAGACAAATAAGTAATAACCTATAGTCTTTACAAAGTAATTATAATCATAATTAGTCTTAGTTTTCAGTGTCTTCATTACCAAATTAATAATATAGCTTCTCAAGATTACTAACTCATTAATTATTTGCTTACTTTATAACTGGAAATTTTTAATCTTGTTTTTTTCTCACTGCTTACAACTAACATAAATTATCACAGAGTTGGTGGTATCTAGCTGGAATGAGGGGGATTATTTCTCTAAATACTTCCTACTTATTTAGGCCTGGAAGTACTTCCTGTTAGGAAGAGATCAGAGCCAGGAGGTGTGCTGTGGTGCATTTTACACAGAGTCCAGAGGTCCTGGTTCTTAATTTCTTGGCTTCAGAAAGCAAGGCATGGCACAAATGACACTTAGCAACTTTGCAGGCTAGAGACAGCTGCTACTGGTGCCAGACTATTCTTAAAGAATGAATACTTATTTTTAAGAATAGTTGCCTAATCTCTTGCTACTCAAAGTGTGGTTCCCAGACCAGCAACATTGGCATCGCCTGGGAGCTTGCTACAACTGCAGAATTTCAGACTCCACCATGGACCTACTGAATCCTAATCTGTACATTAGCAAGATCCCCTGGTGATTGTATGCCCATAAAAGCTTGGGAAACATTGGCCTATACCTTGTTCAAAAGTAATAGGTTATTATACAAAACATTCCCTTAAAATCAGCCAAAGCTACTAATTGAGGTTTTGTGGTCCCCCAAACCGAGCCCTTCTTGTGTTGCCAGCAATCATATGAAATAAATGTGTTCTGTGCACCACCTGGTTTGACAACTGCAAACTTATTAGGTTAAATCATATGAAGTTGCTTAGGTTCTATTGTTTGTAACTAATAAAAATAGTAAATTTTTTTGAGAAGCATGATGCAGTATAGAGAACACAGGCCTTGGAGCCATACTAGTCCATGTTAAAGCCCTAATTTTTTGACCTTATAGTACCATGACCTTGGGAAAGATTACTGTGTCTCCTTGCACCTCAGTTTTGTCTCATTTGGAAAATATGGATAACAGTTTATTCATATTGTTACCAAGTAGATTCAATAAGAAAATATATGTAATTATGCTTAAGGTAATGAGTGGTTCATGGTAGACCCTACATATATGTATGTTTTCTGTGTGACTATGCTTTGCTGCCAAAGTGAAATAGACAATTAAGACAATTAAATGAATAAAAAAATGACTGGGAATTCTAAGTTGCTGGTCTAAAGGTTTTAAGAGGGGAATTGATATTTTGGATTCTCAAGGATACAATTGATACAATCATGCTTTCTTACTTGTACTTTTGGGATATACGGTCTCCACTCAGTTGCTTTGCCGGGTTGTTCAAAAGTGTGCCCCATTTGTCTGAAAGAACTGTATTGCTTCCCTGTCTTCTTTCTTTTTCCCACTTCAGCAATGTGACCTTCTTTTTTAGAGGGTTAGCAATGAACTCACAAAAGGGTTTACACTGCCAGCTGTAGATTCAGATAAACAGATTTGTATTAATCCAGTGAGCAATTGGGAACATTTCATCTAATAAGGCATTTTGCTTAGATCATGCCAACTGACCTAGGTGAATAAAAGATTTGCTGTATCATCTGCTTAGGGGAGTAAATTTGATTGTGAACATACTTCTACAGTGTCCTACTATATCACTAAAGAAAAATTGGGAAGTTGGGGCTGACCTGAGGGACACAATTTCAACTGAATTAATGTCCCACTGAGATCTTCAAACACTATTCCTCAAAGGCCAGTTGCAAGCATTGCTAGAGCAATTATATTTCATATTAGACTGTTCTAATTCATGTCATTTCATGCAAAGAATAAAGTAAAATTGTCTGTTCATTTTAGAGTTTAAACAGACTTGAAATGTAGCAAAGAGGAACCTTCTTATAGTTAGCCATTCTAACAGTTCCCACTGAGTGACATGTTAAGAAAGTTAGAGTCAGAGAAAAAGATGAAAATCTAAGAAAAATGTATGCAGTTTAATTGAAAATGTCTCTATTTCTAGAAAATATACTTTAGGAAAGAAGAGGATATGAACATTAATATCAAGCAGGACTACAGGTTGGTGTGGTTGTACCTAACGTGAAATATTCTATTAGCTATCATCAACTACATTTTCTATAGGCTTCCAGTAACATAATTCCTCTATAAATATGAACTTTGGATCTATAATTCAATTATATTTACCATAAACCTTGTTTAAAGCATTTACTACTTTAGAACTCGTGAAAGCAATATAAATCTAGTTTTATTGATGAAGCAGGCCTTTAAGTGCTCAAAAAGTCCTTAATAGAAAGATATCACCATGAGAAACATATGGGAGGATAAACTGGTTACATAAAATGTGTTATTTACCAAGAGAAAAGTGTTATCTAAAACTTCCATTTCTGCAGGTGAAGAAATGTAAAAAAGCACCTACATTCATATACGCTGAAAGGACACTGAAACTTGTTTAAATTACTACCAGGGGAACCATAGCATATCAAGATCTGACTTGCCAGAGCCCAAAATTAAATTTATCCTCACATTCTGGCCTATATAATAAAGAGATAAATTGTATAGTGGTTGGCAGCAAACTGGATCAGAGCCATGCTGTATAAATTGAGAATGAATACAGAAATTGCAGAGAAAAAAACATAACAATGCAACAAATAAATGGCTCTTTAAAGTACCCATGAACACCATTGAATACTATTATTTGGTTCTTATTTTTGGAGTTACAGGCACAGGAGCGACTACCCAGTTTAGTCCAATCAGTTTCTTTTCTAGATGAGAAAGTCAAGATTTATAGTAGTTAGAAGCTCAATATCCCAGTATAATTTGAGTCCTGGGTTCTACTCTTGGTTCTGAAATTGACTTCAGCATATTGTCTTTTTTTTTTTTTTTAATTATCTGTGAGCTAAAACTCACAGATAATAACAACTACAGGTAACATATGGACCCTTGAGTTTTCTCATGTTGTTGCTATTGAAATATACCAGTGCCACAATTTTTCTCATATTCACATAAAACCTATTTTAATATTTAATATTAATATTTATTCTTTGAAATTTGTCTGCATTTTAACTTCTAAAATAACATTGAAGTTGCAGATCTGATCAGAAGCTATGTGATTTCTAATAATAAGCACAAAATAATTATCATAGTATTATCATGAAAATACTTATTTTACTGCCTGTAATCATGTTAGGTAGCTCACTTTGTGAAACACTGTCCTCTATTTCTCCCTCTAACCAATATTTATTGAACTGCTTCTGATTCCAACACACTGTGTTAGAAGATAAGTTGGAAAATACATAAAGTTGAATAAAATATTATCTAGGTTTTAACAGAAGCTTAACATTTACTAGAAAATAGAGGCATGTACACAAATGACATAAAAGAGAATACCCAGAGGAATGGGGGAAAGTACTGAGTTGACGCTAAACTTGACAGTAACCATCCTCAAGGTTATAAGTTTGAACACTGCACATTCAGTCTGTGAATTTCTCACACTCTGCAAAACGATGCCAAAAACTAAGCTATGGAAATTGGAATAAATGGTAATTACAATTATTCCCTAAAGGACTATTGTGGAAAAAGAAGTGTCCTTTTAATCTTTATATATATTTTGAACTCAGTTTCAATCCTTTCTCAATCCACAGTTTTATGTAGCTATGCTTATTGCACCATAGACGTATGACATTAGGCTCTCTTAAGATAAATGATATTCTACAGAGAGATGCAATCAGGAGAAAAGAGAACTGACAGCCCCAAGCCAAAAATTGTGTCCAAGTTCCAGGGCTCCGTTAGGAGAACTCTCACTCTGGGCACCAAATCCTGTTTCTGGAGCCATCAATGTTTTTAATTAAATACAAGCAGTCTATATCCACCAAGGTTGGAAAATGTTCATCCTTTACATGTTAATTTATTAAGATGGAACTTCACAAAGATTTAATAAAGTGACAAGGAAATTATTTTGCATCAAAAGATTCCTGTATTCTGACTCAGCCGGGTCCCAGACTGTTTTTCGACCATTAGAAAAAGTGGATGTGACATGATACATCTTGTTGCAAGAGAATATGCTTTCCACTTAGTGTCTACAATAAACATGGACACAAAATTAGTCCTGTTCCCACATAGAGAGCAAAGGGGTCTTTATTGCCTCAGAAAACTCAAGGGACACATGAGCCCTGTTTACTTTGTGGTGTACCTCTCTGAGTATGAAAGTGGGAATGGATGGGAAAATGCTTTGTCCTTTTTACTTCTGTTCCATCAGTGTTTCTTTCATTAATTTCACAAGCAGTTCTGCTTGAATACAGCCATGAAATAAACCAAGACATTTGGGACTTTGAACATGACTGGGAGCTGTAGAAAGTGGAAATAAAATTCACTATATACACATCATGGTGCTAGGGAAGAAAACCTTCCAGGGATCCTATAGTCTTCCAGGAGAGGTTGCTAAAAGAGAAAGAGAGAGAGAGAGAGAGGTGGGCTGGCTCCAGCTGTCTGTGGCAGCAGCTGGTTCGTTGAAATTCCCCCAGCATGGATGCCTCACAAACACAACGGGAACAAAACAGCCACGATCTCTGAGTGCTCCTGGATACAACTGGAAAGTACTGTTTTATTCTACCAACTAAAGAAGCCACTTGTTTTCCTAAGAGCCCTGCTGAATTTAGAGATCACTAGAGGAAAGTTCTATATTTGAAACGATATTTCTAGGCAAAGCTCTCATACTATAAAGTGCCATATCTACACTTGTTCAAAGATAGTGACCTTCAGGGCACTGCATATGTCCCAATAATTTGCTCAGCTTGTTGTCTGATGGAGCTCACTAGGAACATGTATTTCGTCGAGAATGTTCAGAGGAGTTTGTGTGGGGCACTGGACAAACAAGACCCTGAAATTTCTGTTTAGAAATCACTTTAACCTTGCATCATCTCTTCCAGTTATGACTGACTAAAGAAATAAAAGTCTAGTGTCATTTTATATCATAAAGTCAAGTGTTAGCAAGGGTACAGATAATTGGAAATATTATACAGCACTGACAAAAGTATAAATCTACACATTGTGGAGAACAATATGGCAGTGTCTCATACAATTATATACACAACTATGTGTATATACAATCACATACACATTCAAAGACACAGGAAGTCTATTTATCAGCTTATTCATGATGAAAACACAATCATGTGAGCTCAAGGGAGTTTGTAAAAAGATGTTTGTTGCTACATTGTTTTTAATATAAATATATTGGGGAAAAAAAACCCAAGTGCTGGATAAAAAGGGAATGGTCACATAAACTATAGTGTATCCATATTCAGTAGCTAAGAAGGGTAGATAGATATGTGTTTAGTAACACGGAAACATGTCAAAATTATATTGTTGAGAAAACTATAAAAATATGTATATGATATAAAAATAAACTCATGATTGGCTGCGCACAGTGGCTTACACCTGTAATCCCACCATTTTGGGAGGCCGAGGCGGGTGGATCACAAGGTCAGGAGATCGAGACCATCCCGGCTAACACGGTGAAACCTCGTCTCTATTAAAAATACAAAAAATTAGCCGGGCGTAGTGGCGGACGCCTGTAGTCCCAGCTACTTGGGAGGCTGAGGCAGGAGAATGGCGTGAACCCGGGAGGCGGAGCTTGCAGTGAGCAGAGATCACGCCCCTGCACTCCAGCCTGGGCGACAGAGCGAGACTCCGTCTCAAAAAAAAAAAAAAATAAAATAAAAATAAAAATACAAAAAAAATTAGCCGGGTATGGTGGCGGGCGCCTGTAGTCCCAGCTACTCAGGAGGCTGAGGCAGGAGAATGGCGTGAACCCGGGAGGCGGAGCTTGCAGTGAGCAGAGATCACGCCACTGCACTCCAGCCTGGGCGACAGAGCGAGACTCGGTCTCAAAATAAATAAATAAAATAAATCAATAAATAATAAACTCATGATCCAATATATATGTAATAGAAAAGTGTGGAAATGTACTCAATAGACATAACCACATCTAGAGAAGGATAAAGGGGGATAAAGGGCACTTTGGTTTTATCTGTAATAGCTAATATTATAGAACAATACATTTGTGTATCACACATGTAATTAAAATGATTTGTAAAGTTCTAGTTTAAGGTAATTTTTACAAAAAACAAAACAAACAATTCTATGGAGTGCAGAATTCCACATTCAGAAGCAGATGAACTGATTTCTGGGCTATCCATTGGACACGCAATACATAGGAAAATTTTGTTTGTAGTACCTACTTATCCACCTCCAATAATCCTTCCCCATGTTTATTTCCATTCACTATTCTTTTATATATCCAGGGTGGTTAAATTGCAGTTTGGCTCTTTAGGATACATGTGCTTTGTGAATTCTCCTTATAAGTAATTGCATGCACAGATATCTTACTTCAAAATTACCTGGCCCATGACTTCTTTCATTAGTTCTTTTGGCATATAACTAAATAGACAATTGAATATCAGTTTAGACAAGAGATAAAAGTGTTAATTGCATTACCTCACCCACATAGCAATTGTAACTTTTGATGCCCCCTTCAATTGCAAATGGTTAGAAATGAGGGAATTTCAGAAATATCGGTGTGTACACCAGGTAGTCTAGTTTATGGCATGATTTTAGGAATGAGAAGAAGGCAATGGCTTGCCCAAATTCTCTATTATAAAATAACTCATATTTAAAATTCAACAGTGTATCATTCATAAGCTTGAAAACCAGAAGCAGAGGGTGGTCACAGTGGCTCATGCCTGTAATCCTAGCACTTTGGGAGGCCGAGGCAGGTGGATCATGGATCACAAGGTCGAGAGATCTAGACCATCCTGGCCAACATGGTGAAACCCCATCTCTACTACTACTAATAATAATACAAATATTAGCTGAACGTGGGTGGTGCACGCCTGTAGTCCCAGCTACTCGGGAGGCTGAGGCAGGAGAATTGCTTGAACCCGGGAGGCAGAGGTTGCAATGACTCAAGATTGCACCACTGCATTCCAGCCTGGCAACAGAGTGAGCCTCTGTTTCCAAAAAACAAAACAAAACAAAACAAAACAAAACAAAATAAAATAAACAGAAGCAGAATCTCTGGAGAGAACAACAATTACAGCAATTTAATTCAGTCTTCTAAACCTTGGGTCCACAGAATCTCCAAGACATCATGAATGACAATCAAAGATGAAAAAAATTACCTCTTTATTTTCACCAATCTTTAACTGAAATTTTATATACCCTTCAATTGTTAATGCCAACATTCCTGTGCAACATGCACAGTAATATGAGCAACGACAGTTACTTCATCCCCCATGGAAATCACAGCTATTTTCAAATCATATTACAGTTGTTGCAAATATGGTAAAATATTGTTGACCCTCATGATTATTCAGAAATCACAGTAATTACTAGACTTGCTGCCAAGAACTTTATTTAGTATGCTAATAAAGATGACTTATTATATCACAAATTTGTTGTTTAATATTTTGATAATTGTATTTCAGTATAAATGATTTTTTACTTTTATTTTTAAATATTTTATGCATTTAATAACATTGTTCTGAGAAGGAATTCCATATGTATCACAATACTGCTAAAGTGATTCATAAACACAGAAAGGTTAGGCTTGAGAACCATTGCTTTAAATTGTTATTATACATTTCATTTTTACTAGTTATAATGTTATTATTCACATAATTTTCACATGGTATGGAGGAAGGATCTAGAAGCAGTTTTCAGTAGTAGAAAAGGTAGTTCATGTGTGCGGTTTTAGAGGGAATTTATGCATGAAGAACAAGGTTCTGACAAGTTGGGGTCATCAAAATACATAGTCCTGTATGTTTACATTTTCCACAAAAAAGGGACCCCAAAGCATTACAAAGAAGCAGCTGTGAGACACACACTCTGAGGTCAGCCTTTCTTCTCCACCTTACATGTTTATCCTCCACTTCCTTCTCTCTGATACATACTTTGATCATCCAGTTGTCCATGATACTTCCACCATAAGAAGACAGAAGACAACAAAACACACTAAGATTGAACCAAAAGATTTACAATGGTAAAAGTAGCTTTGATAAGATACTAACCAGGAAACTGGAATAAAACAGCAACAGAGAAATATTTTTTCCACTATCCACAGATGCCAGAAAAATTGAGGGAAATTTTCTGAAAGGAATGTGAGTCCCATGAGCATCTTCCAAGTATCCAGAGTACGACAACTCTAGTTGTACTTTCAGGCTACCGAGGTCAGGAAAAACTTGGATTTCTTTAGCAGTGAAAACCCATAAGGGCTTAGGTCCCCATTCATTCACATAGTCCCTTAATTCCCTTCTCAAACTCATCACAGTTGTTTATAGGTACCCCCAAGTGAACTATCTGACACGCCTATTCAAAAACACTCTGCTGGCTTCAGTTATATCATATGATTGGTGTAGTATGAAGGCACTTTCACTTGTTAAGAGCAAAGTGTTTGGAGCCAAGTGGCTATTTCTATCTCCATACTGGACCTGTAAAATGGAATAATAACAGTACCTGCCTCATAGGGTCATTGTGAGGAACAGCAAGGAACCACCTATCAAGAATGCACCATATTTCCCAGCACATAGTAAGCATTCAGAGAATGCTAGCTATGGTTATGATTGCTATTAGGCCTGCCCTATTTTTTTTCCCACTTTCTCTGGCTCTCTTGTTCAGGATGTCTTCCTGAGAAGTCATCTAGGAATCACAGATCTGTAGGAAACCATGGTTGGTTCCACCATTAAAACACTATCTGTAACCAGGGTGTTACCCTCCAGTCCCCAAGAGGTGAATGTCATTCAGGCCTTGAATGGTGAATGTCATTGATGAATTGGAACACACTGATTTTGCACAGAATATGGATCTTATCATTGGCAGGACTCACTCTGTCTCCTAGGCTCAAAGGCACTATAACTTTGGGCTCTCTTAAATTATCTTTAAGTATCACTGGAAATCTCTTTGTGTTTCAGTTTTCTCGGTTGTAAAATAGGAGTAATAGGACCTTCGTTCTATGTTGAATGTGGAGTAGCTAGCAACCAAACTCATATCTTCTCCTCAAACTTAAGGTATATACAGGTCTGATAAGATTTCAGAAAACATTCATACTTTGTGTAAAGATCATAAGTGCTATAAAGCAAAGTGATTCCTTGTTATTCTGGATGTTCACTTGCCCCACTGATGTGAAAGCAGGGAAGTGCAATCATAGCATTCATTAGACTGAAGTTACGTTTTCCCTGTCTCTCCCCAGTGATTAATTTCCCTTTTCCTCATTCACTTTCTATTTGTCTCTCTTTTATAAATGTGCTCTTTCTGTCTTTTAGATCCTAAGGCAATGCTATCAAGCCTGACTACATTCTATTTTCTTGATAATACCAAATAAAAATGATGAAGATACACGTTGGTTTAAAGCAGAACATTCCAGATATTGAGCTACCGCCAATACAATTTCCTATTTGTTGGTATTCATTTGGGAAATCATTTATCTATAAAAACAATCTGTGCATATAAAGTGTCTTTTCTAAATTTTGTTTTAATATTTCCTATTCCACCTTGAAGGGTTGAAATTCAATTTGATTCTACAGGCATTTAGCATTTATTGAGTGCCTCATATATTAAAGATTCCGGTTAGGTACAGAGTAGGATGTGCATAGTAAGTAATATTTGCAGAGCACATTATCATTTACAAAGTACCTCTAGATTAATCAGCAAAGTTCTTGTATACCACTTGTTTGAGAAAATATTATTGT